>NC_000003.12:110372240-110675270 GCF_000001405.40 Homo sapiens | reverse complement strand
GTTGTGTCTCTGCCAGGTTTTGGTATCAGTAGGAGGCTGGCCTCACAAAATGAGTTAGGGAGGGTTTCCTCTTTTTCTATTGATTGGAATAGTTGCAGAAAGAATGGTACCAGCTCCTCCTTGTACCTCTGGTAGAATTTGGCTGTGAATCCTTCTGGTCCTGGACTTTCTTTGGTTGGTAGCTATTAATTATTGCCTCAATTTCAGAACCTGCTATTGGTCTATTCAGAGAATCGACTTCTTCCTGATTTAGTCTTCGGATGGTGTATGTGCCCAGTAATTTATCTATTTCTTCTAGATTTTCTAATTTATTTGCATAGAGGTGTTTATAGTATTCTCTGATGGTAGTTTGTATTTCTGCGGGATTAGTGGTGATATCCCCTTTATCATTTTTTATTGTGTCTATTTGATTCTTCTCTCTTTTCTTCTTTATTAGTCTTGCTAGTGGTCTATCTATTTTGTTGATCTTTTCAAAAAACCAGCTCCTGGATTCATTGATTTTTTGAAGGGTTATTTGTGTCTCTATTTCCTTCAGTTCTGCTCTGATCTTAGTTGTTTCTTGTCTTCTGCTAGCTTTTGAATTTATTTCCTCTTGCTTCTCCAGTTCTTTTAATTTTGATGATAGGGTGTCGATTTTAGATCTTTCCTGCTTTCTCTTGTGGGCATTTACTACTATAAATTTCCCTCTACACACTGCTTTAATTGCGTCCCAGAGATTCTGGTATGTTGTGTCTTTGTTCTCGTTGGTTTCAAAGAACATCTTTATTTCTGCCTTCATTTTGTTATTTACCCAGTAGTCATTCAGGAGCAGGTTGTTCAGTTTCCACATAGTTGTGCAGTTTTGAGTGAGTTTCTTAATCCTGAGTTCTAACTGGATTGCACTGTGTTCTGAGAGACAGTTTGTTGTGATTTCTGTTCTTTTACATTTGATGAGGAGTGTTTTATTTCCAATTATGTGGTCAATTTTAGAATAAGTGTGATGTGGTGCTGAGAAGAATGTATATTCTGTTGATTTGGGATGGAGAGTTCTGTAGATGTCTATTAGGTCCGCTTGGTGCAGAGCTGAGTTCAAGTCCTGGATATCCTTGTTAATTTTCTGTCTTGTTGATCTCTCTAATAGTGACAGTGGGGTGTTAAAGTATCCCATTATTATTGTGTGGGAGTCTAAGTCTCTTCATACATCTCTACGAACTTGCTTTATGTATCTGGGTGCTCCTGTATTGGTTGCATATATATTTAGGATAGTTAGCTCTTCTTGTTGAATTGATGCCTTTACCATTATGTAATGGCCTTCTTTGTCTCTTTTGATCTTTGTTGGTTTAAAATCTGTTGTATCAGAGACTAGGATTGCAACCCTTGCATTTTTTTTTTCTTTTTTTTTTTTTTTTGCTTTCCATTTGCTTGGTAGATGTTCCTCCATCCCTTTATTTTGAGCCTGTGTGCGTCTTTGCACATGAGATCAGTCTCCTGAATACAGCACACCGATGGGTCTTTATCCAATTTGCCAGTCTGTGTCTTTTAACTGGGGCATTTGGCCTGTTTATATTTAAGTTAATATTGTTACGTGTGAATTTGATCCTATCATTATGATGCTAGCTGGTTGTTTTGACCGTTAGTTGATTCAGTTTCTTCATAGCATCAGTAGTCTTCACAATTTGGCATGTTTTTGCAGTGGTTGGTACTGGCTGTTCCTTTCCATGTTTAGTGCTTCCTTCAAGAAGCTCTTGTAAGGCAGGCCTGGTGGTGACAAAATGTCTCAGCATTTAGTTATCTGTAAAGGATTTTATTTCTCCTTTGCTTATGAAGCTTAATTTGACTGGATATGAAATTCTGAGTTGAAAATTCTTTTCTTTAAGAATATTGAATATTGGCTCCCACTCTCTTCTGGCTTGTAGGGTTTCTGCAGAGAGATCTGCTGTTAGTCTGATGGGCTTCCCTTTGTGAGTAACCAGACCTTTCTCTCCAGCTGCCCTTAACATTTTTTTCCTTCATTTCAACCTTGGTGCATCTGATGATGATGTATGTCGGGGTTGCTCTTCTTGAGGAATATCTCTGTGGTGTTCTCTGTATTTCCTGAATTTGGATGTTGGCTTGCCTTGCTAGGTTGGGGAAGTTCTCCTGGATAATATCCTGAAGAGTGTTTTCTAACTTGGTTCCATTTTCCCCGTCACTTTCAGGTACACCAATCAAACATAGATTTGGTCTTTTCACATGGTCCCATATTTCTTGGAGGCTTCATTAGTTTCTTTTCACTCTTTTTTCTCTAATCTTGTCTTCTTGCTTTATTTCATTAATTTGATCTTCAATCACTGATATCCTTTCTTCTGCTTGATGAAATTAGCCATTGAAACTTGTTTATGCTTCATGAAGTTCTCGTGCTGTATTTTACATCTCCATTGGGTCATTTATTTTCTTCTCTACACTCATTATTTTAGTTTAGCCATTCCTCTAACCTTTCTTCAAGGTTTTTAGCTTCCTTGTGATGGGTTAGAACATGCTCCTTTAACTCGGAGAAGTTTGTTTTACCCACCTTCTGAAGCCTACTTCTGTCAACTCATCAAACTCATTCTCCATCCAGTTTTGTTCCATTGCTGGCGAGAAGTGTGATCCTTTGGAGGAGAAGAGGCATTCCGGCTTTTGGAATTTTCAGCCTTTCTGCTCTGGTTTCTCCCCATCTTTGTGGTTTTATCTACCTTTGGTCTTTGATGTTGGTGACCTACAGATGGGGTTTTGGTGTGGATGTCCTTTTTGTTGATATTGATGCTATTCCTTTCTGTTTGTTAGTTTTCCTTCTAACAGACAGGCCCGTCAGTTGCAGGTCTGTTGAAGTTTGCTGGAAGTCCACTCCAGGCCCTTTTTGCCTGGGTATCACCAGCAGAAGCTGCAGAACAGCAAATATTGCTGCCTGATTCTTCCTCTGGAAGCTTCATTCCAGAAGGGCACCTGCTAGATGCCAGCCAGATCTCTCCTGTATGAGGTGTCTGTTAGCCCCTGCTGGGAGGTGTTTCCCAGTCAGGCTACATGGGGGTCAGGGACACACTTGAGAAGGCAGTCTGTCCATTATCAGAGCTTGAACACTGCGCTGGGAGAAACATGCTCTCTTCAGAGCTGTCAGGCAGGGACATTTAAGTCTGTAGAAGCTTTGCCCACAGCTGTCCCTTTCCCCAGGTGCTCTGTCCCAGGGAGATGAGGGTTTTATCTATAAGTCCCTGACTGGGGCTGCTGCCTTTTATTCAGATATGCCCTGCCCACAGAGGTGGACTCTAGAGAGGCACTTGGCTTTGCTGAGCTGTGGTGGGCTCTGCCCAGTTCAAGCTTCCCGGCAGCTTTGTTTACACTGTGGGCATTAAACCACCTACCCAAGCCTCAGCAATGGCAGACGCCCCTCCCCCCACCAAGCTCCAGCATCCCAGGTCAATCTCAGACTGCTGCACTAGCAGCAAGAATTTCAAGCCAATGGATCTCAGCTTGCTGGGCTCCATGGGTGTGGGACCCCCTGAGTCAGGCACTGGAGGGAATCTCCTGGTCTGCTGGTTGCAAACACGGTGGGAAATGTGTAGTATTTGGGCAGGAATGTACCATTCCTCCCAGTACAGTCTCTCATGGCTTCCCTTGGCTAGGAAAGGGAAATCCCTGACCACTTGTGCTTCCCAGGTGAGGTGATGCCCCACCCTGCTTCGGCTCACCCTCTGTGGGTTGCACCCACTGTCCAACCAGTCTTAATGAGATGAACCAGATACCTCAGTTGGAAATGCTGAAATCACTCATCTGCATCTATCTCGCTGGGAGCTGCAGACTGGAGCTGTTCCTATTCGGCCATCTCGGAAGAGAGTCCTTAGTTTCCCAAAGTCTTAACTCATTTCAGCGTTAACTCAAAAGTCCATAGTCCAAAGTCTCATCTGAGACAAAGCAAGTCCCTTTTGCCTGTGAGCCCATAAAATCAAAAGCAAGTTAGTTACTTCCTAGACACAACTAGGGTACAAGCATTGGGAAAATACAGCCATTCCAACTGGGAGAAATTTGGCAAAACAAAGGGGCTACAGGCCCCATGCAAGTTCAAAATTCAGCAGGACAGTCAAATCTTAAAGCTCCTAAATGATCTGCTTTGACTCAATGTCTCACATCTAGGTCATGCTGATTCAAAAGGTGGGCTCCTACAGGCTTGGGCATCTCCATCCTTGTGGCTTTGCAGTGTATAGCCTCCCTCCTGGCTGCTTTCATGGGCTAGCATTGAGTGTCTGCAGCTTTTCCAGGCACATGGTGCAAGCTCTCAGTGGATCTACCATTTTGGGGTCTGGAGGATGGCAGTGGCCCTCTTCTCACAGCTCCTCTAGGCAGTGCTCCAGTAGGGACTCTGTGTGGGTGCTATGATCCCACATTTCCCCTTCACACTGCATTAGCAGAGGTTCCTCATGAAGGCCCAGCCTCTGCAGCAAACTTCCTCTGAAATGTAGGCAGAGGTTCCCAAACCTCAATTCTTGACTTCTGTGTACCTGCAGACTCAACACCACATGGAAGCTGCCACAGCTTGTTGCTTACACTCTCTAAAGTGGTGCCTAAGCTGCACCTTGGTCCATTTTATCCATGGCTAGAGCAGCTGGGGTGCAGGGCACCAAATCCCTGCAGGGGGGCCCTGGGCTTAGCCCACAAAACCATTATTTCCTCTTAGGCCTCCAGGCCTGTGATGGAACAGGATGCCTCACAGGTCTCTGACATGCCCTGGAGACATTTTCCCTATTGTCTTGGCAATTAACATTTGGCTTCTCATTACTTCTGCAAATTTCTGCAGCTAGTTTGAATTTCTCCTCAGATAATGTTTGCTTTGTTTTGTTTTTTCTATTGCATTGTCAGGCTGAAAATTCTCCAAACTTTTATGCTCTGTTTTACTTTTAAAACTGAATGCCTTTAACAGCACCCAAGTCACCTCTTGAATGCTTTGCTGCTTAGAAATTTCTTCTGCCAGATACCCTAAATTACCTCTCTCAAGTTCAAGGTTCCACAGATCTCTAGGGCAGGGGCAAAATGCCACCAGTCTTTTTGCTAAAACATGAGAGGAGTCATCTTCGCTCCAGTTCCCAACAAGTTCCTCATCTTCATGTGAGACCATCTTAGCCTGGATTTCATTGTCCATATCATTATCAGCATTTTGGGCAAAGCCATTCAACAAGTCTCTGGGGAGTTCCAAACTCTCCCACATTTTCCTGTCTTCTCCTGAGCCCTTCAAACTGTTCCAACTTCTGCCTGTTACCCAGTTCCAAAGTGACTTCTACATTTTTGGGTATCTTTTCAGCAGTGCCCCACTTTACTTGTACTAATTTACTATGTTAGTTCGTTTTCATGCTGCTTATAAAAACGTAACCAAGACTGGCAATTTACAAAAGAAAGAGGTTTAATGGACTTACAACTTCATATGGCTGGGGAGGCCTCACAGTTGTGGCAGAAGGCAAGAGGAAGCAAGTCACATCTTAAATGGATGGTGGCAGGCAAAGAGAAAGAGAGCTTGGGCATAGAAACTACCATTTTTAAAACCATCAGATCTGGTGAGTCTTATTCACTATCATGAGAACAGCACAGGAAAGACCCGCCCCATAATTTAGTTACCTCCAACCAGATTCCTTGTGGGAATTGTGGGAGTTACAATTCAAGATGAGATTTGGGTGGGGACACAACCAAACCATATCAGCCAGATATTAAACTTTTGGTTGGAATTCCTTTTCTTAAGAATGTTGAATATAGGCCATCAGTATCTTCTGGCTTGTAGGATTTGTCCTGATAAGTCTGATGTTAGCCTGATGACGTTCCCTTTCTAGGTGACCTGTTTTTTCTCTCTAGCTGCCTTCAACATTTTAGTTTTTATTTTGACCCTGGAGAATCTGATGACTATGTGTCTTGAAGAAGTCATTCTTGTGAAGTATCTTGTGGGGGTTCTCTGCATTTCTTTTCCTGTTTTTTTTTTTCTTTTTTTTTTTTAGACAGAGTCTCTCCCTGTTGCCCAGGCTAGAGTGCAGTGGTATAATCTTGGCTCACTGCAATCTTTGGCTCCTGGGTTCAGGTGATTCTTGTGCCTCAGCCTCCTGAGTAGCTGGAATTACATACATGCACCATCATGCATGGCTAATTTTTTGTATTTTTTAGTAGAGACTGCATTTTCCATGTTGGCCAGGCTGGTCTAGAACTCTGGGCCTCACATGATCCTCCTGCTTCGGCCTCCCAAAGTACTGGGATTACAGGTGTGAGCCACCACACCTGGCCCCTCTGCATTTCTTAAATTTGAATGTTGGCTTCTATAGCTAGGTTGAGGAAGTTCTCATGGATGATATCCTGAAATATGTTTCCTAAGTGGTTTTCTTTCTTGCCATCTCTTCCGTGATGCCACTGATTGATAAATTTTGTCTCTTTATATAATCCTATATTTCTTGGAGATTTTGTTTGTTCCATTTCATTCTTTTGTTTCATTCTTTTCTTTTCTGTCTTATTTCAGAAAGCCAGTCATCGAGCTCTGAGATTCTTTTCTCTTCCTGATCTATTCCTCTGTTAATAATTGCAATTGCATTATAAAATTCTTGTAGTGTGTGTGTCAGCTCTGTCAGGTTGGTTACATTCTTTTCCATACTGACTATTTTGTCTATCAGCTTCTGTATTGTTTTATTGTGATTCTTAGGTTTCTTGGAGTGGGTTTCAACATTCTCCTGAATCTCAATGATCTTTGTTCCTATCCATATTCTGTTTTATTTCCTGTGGTATGGGTTGTAATATCTCCTGTTTCATTTTTAATTGAATTTATTTGGATCTTCTCTCTTCTTTTCTTGGTTAATCTCACTAATGGTCTATCAGTTTTAAACCAGCTTTTTGCTTCATTTATCTTTTTTTTTTTTTAATTCATTTACTTCTGCTCTGATCTTTGTTGTTTCTTTTATTCTGCTGGGTGTGGATTTGGTTTGTTCTTGTTTCTCTAGTTCCTTGAGATGTGACCTTATGTTGTCTATTTGTGCTCTTTCAGCCTTTTTGATGTAGATGTTTAATGCTATAAACTTTCCTCTTAGCACCACTTCTTCTGTGTCCCAGAGGTTTTGATAGGTTGTGTCACTATTATGGTTTAGTTCAGAGAATTTTTAAATTTTCATCGTGATTTCATTGTTGACCCAATGATCATTCAGGATCTGGTTATTTATTTTCCATGTATTTGAATGGCTTCGAGGGTTATTTTCAGAGTTGATTTCCAATTTTATTCCACTGTAGTCTGAGAGAGTACTTGATATAATTTTGAATTTCTTAAATTTATTGAGACTTATTTTGTGGCCTATCATATGGTCTATCTTGAAGATTGTTCCATGTGGTAATGAATAGAATGCATATTCTTTGTTCATTTTTTAAATTCTTTTTTCTTAGTCTTTGTTGGGTTGGGTTAATTCAAAATCCTTGCCTTCAAGCTCTAAAGTTCTTACTCTACTTGCTTGATTCTATTGTTGAAACTTTTTGTAGTGTATTTTGCAATTCTCCAAGTGTGTCTTTCATTTCCAGAAGTTGTGATGGTTTTTTAATCTATGCTATCTATTTCTTGGGAGGTTTTTAATCTATATCCTGTATAATTTTTAACATTTCTTTAAGTTGTTTTTCATGTTTCTCTAGTGCTTCCTTGAGTAGCTTAATAATCAACCTTTTAAATTCTTTTTCTGGCAATTCAGAGATATCTTCTTGGTTTGGATCCATTGCTGGTAAGCTAGTGTGATCTTTTGGGGGTGCTAACAAATCTTGCTTTGTCATATTACCAGAATTGTTTTTCTGCTTCCTTCTCATTTGGGTACACTGTTTCAATGGAAAGATCTGGGGCACAGGGCCAGCTATTCAGATTCTTTTGTCCCACAGGGTGATCCCTTGATGTGGTTTTCTTCCCCTTCTGCTAGTGATGGTGCTTCCTGAGAGCTGGACGACAGTGATTGTTATTGCCCTTCTGGGTCTAGGCACACAGTGGAGCTACCGATCTCTGGGCTGGTACTAGGAAAGTGTCTGCAAAGAGTCCTTTGATGTGACCTGTCTTCAGATATCTCAGTCTTGGATATCAGCACCTGCTCCAGCGGAGGTAGCAGGGGAGTGAGGTGGACTCTGTGATGGTCCTTGGTCATAGTTTTGTTTTGTGCTGTTTTTCTCAAATGCTGGTTGTGGTAGCAGTGGAATTGTCACATGGACAGACTCAAGACCTTTGGTTAGCCAGAATGTTATAGATGGTGGAATTAGCTGTTGTTTTCTTTTTTCTTGGAGTAGGGTTGTTCTTTTATGAGTTGCTGTAATGGCTTAAGTTTGTTTGCCTTTAACCAGGAGGTGGTACTTTCCAGAGTTGCATCAGCTGCAGTAGTATAGTGGGGATACAAGCTTTCCTTAAGGTCACCTGGATAAGTATTCGAGTTTCTCAGACAATGGGCAGAGCCATAGAGCTCCCAAGAGATTATGTCTTTTGTCTTTGGCTGCCAGGGGAGGTAGAGAAAGACCATCAGGTAGGGGCAGGTTTAGGGGTGTCTGAACTCAAGACTTTCCTTGGGCGGAGCTTGCTGCAACTGCTGTGGGGAATGGGGGTGTGGTTCTCAAGCTAATCAAGTTATGTTTCTAGGGGATTATGGGTGTCTCTGCTGTGTCATACTGGCTGCCAGGGAAGTGGGGGAAGGCCAGCAGTGACAGGCCTCATCCAGCTTGCATGCAGCCAGCAAGGCCAGTTTTACTCCCACCATGCCCCACCAACAGCACTGAATTTTATATCCAGGCAGCTGGTGAGCAGGGCTGAGATTTTGCACCAGGATACAAGCCTCCGCATTGAGAAAGCAAAAAGGGCTTTCAGGCCCTGTCCCTCCCTGCCTGCCACAGCTTCTGCGCTTGTATCTGCATATCTCATTTGCTCCCTGACCCCTAGATTCTGTCCAGGAAAATTCACACCCAGTTAAAATTGTTATGAAGTTCAGCTGGAAGTTGCCTTCTCCCTCTTGTCCCTCTCAATTTCAGTGGCAGCCCTCCCCAAGGGCCCCTGTGAGATAAAGTCAGAAATGGCTTCCTTGGGGAACAAGAGTGCCTACAAGGCTCTTTCTGCTGCCTCTACTTTTATATTTTGCTTGGCTCTTTAAATTCATTTCAGGTCTAGGTAAGGTTAAATCCTTCTCCCATGATCTGGATTTTCAGGTTCCCCAGTGAGGATGTATGTTTGGAGAAAGACTTTCCTCCCTTACATTTTGAGCACCCGCAGTTTTTCGTCTTTCTCAGGGAGTTTGCAGTGGCAAGCCGCTTCTTTTCCCCTATCCATTTTCTGAATCTATTTCTGTCATCAGCTATCTCAGCCTGGTCAAGACCTTTTGCTGGAGAACTAGTATGATCATTTAGAGAAAACAAGGCACCCTGACTTTCTGAGTTGCCAAGAGTTCTTGTGCTGGTTTTCTCATTTGTGTATTCTGATGTTTTTTCAGTCTTTGAAGTTGGTGTCCTTTGGGTGGATTGTTTTACCTTTTTCTTCGTTGATGCCCTTGGGAATTTGATTATGGTATAAGGTGGGTTTGGTTGACTGTCTTCAATTCTAGATTTTTCCTGGGTCTTGGAGGAGCCCCCTCCAATTACTGTCTAGTGTCTGCACTTTTTTTGTTGGGTATTCTGGTGCATGGGGCTTGTTCAGGCCGGGGCTGCAGTTGGCCGACAAGCTGTTTCCTTGTCAAGCTGGCCTTAATCTTCTATTCATGTACTTTCTGGGGAAAGATGAGGTTGCATCTGCCAGCAGAGTTCAGGCTGAAGTGGGATGATTTGCCTGGAAACTCTAGTGGATGTGACCTATCTGGCTATGGAAGGTGGGAGTGGGTGGGATTGTCAGCACTGCTATTTGGATATTTCTAGCGAAAAAGGAGCCTGTGCCCCTTGGCAGATTGAAGCAGATGTAGGGCTTCTGGGCTGGACATTCTAGCAGGTGTTGCCCACCTGACTATTGGTGGTGGGGGTGGTAGAGTCATGTGCCTTGCTGATCAAATGTTTCCTGGAATATCAGGAGGCTGTGCCCTCCAGCTGAGTTCACATAGAATTGTGGCTGCTGGGTCAGAAGCTCTAGCAAATGTTGCCCACCTGGCTACCAGTGGTGGGGGCATGCTCAAGCAGGACATTAGGAAGCTGCACTCTCCAGCTGAGTTCACACAGAGGCAAGACTGCTGGGCTAGTAGCTCTAGCAGGCATTGCCTGCCTATCAGTTGCAGGGGTGTGTGGGGTATAGGTTGGATCCCACGAGGAAAAGTGAAAGCTACTAGGACTTTTGAGAAGTGGACCTGAAATTGGTACACTATCATTTTTGCCACATTTTACTGGTTGAAGAAGTCATAACTCCAGTAAAGAAACATGGGGAGAAGATATGAATGCCTCCTAAAGGGAAAAGCTTACAAGATTCCATTGCAAAAGATCATGGCAAAGATTATTGTTTCTCTTTTAAACCAATCATCTGTCATATCTACTGCAGTGTATAAAGGATGTTTGATGATCTTCCTTTATTTGTGAGATTTTACTTTTAATTATATATTAATGATTAAATTAGCCACCCTACAAATGCTGCCTGAGAGCAAATTAAATCATGTAATTTTCAATTACTAATATATGTGGCATATTAAGGATAAATTGTTCATGCTAATAGACAAGATTAAAACTCTGTGGTCATCCTTTTAAAGTGAAAATATCATATTTACATTAATTTCAATTCTCTGACACTGCTAATCATGGAAAGCTGGCTAATAATGATTCTGTAGCTGAGTGCTCAATCAACGTGGAATGTCCTTTCTGCCCAAATCAGTTAGAAGTGTCTATATTTGGAATTTGCCTACCATTACTTCCTTTTCTAAGAGCCAAATTCCTTGACCTTTTCAATAAGAGGAAAGTAAGATATAGTGTCATTGCATTGGCATGAACATATTTTGAATATCTCCTTAAGAAAATAAAAAAAGAGAACATGGAGGTTGGCAGGGCTTTTAGGGGTGTGGTTGTCAAGCTGGCATGGAAGTAATACTTTTCTCCCTACAATCAAATTCCTTTTCCTGATACCCCTTAAATCCCGAGTCCCTGGATCTCACTCCTGAAATACATAAGAGAAGCAAGGCCCCTGAGATGAAATGTCATGGTGGTTGTTGCAGAGGGAGAAAGAAGATAACTGGTTTCTTTTCTGGGAAGCAGTCAGTGACACATTGGGGAATAATTAGAATTAGATTGAGCCGTAGTCTTCTTAATCCTAAACTGAGGTGTTAAGGACTTCCTTTAACATAAAAGTTTTGATGCCACAGTTCACATGACTACAGGAGGATTTTATTTCAGGGGTTCAGAACACAAGTTTGGGGTTATATAGCCTCCCTTAGTTGCCTGGTTCTGCCAGTTGTAGGATACTGAGAAAGTTATTTAAGCTGTTTTGCTCCAGAGATAACAAATAATAATATATATCTCAAAGAGTTGTTATGAGGATGAAGGAAGATACTGTCAGTAATTAGTGCAGTGACTGGTTCCATTGAATTCTAAATGGCTAGAAGCTACAATTATTATTAGTTATAATTAGCTATTAAAATTAAAAAGCCATAATTCTTTACAAATTATCAAGCCAAACATTGCTCAAAATGAAAGTATTGCAATGAACTTATGAGATATTATATATGATTATATTTATGTATGATTTTCAAATGTGTATTAATTTTTAGTATGTACCTAGAACTCTCTAATTTGTACTGCTTTTGTAAAATGAAGTTATCAATAAGAAAAATAAAAAAATTATTGTACTTGCTTCAATTTCTGAATCTCATAATTATCTTATAATTAATTTCAATTTTTGTGTTTAAAAGTTCTCTGCTATAGAGGACATATATAATCCTATGGCTTAGGGTGAAGGTTATATAGTTTTTCACTTGATTTTAGATCCCATTTATTTCTTAACAAGAGATTTATTTATTTCCATATCACTTATTTGGAATATCCTTTCAGTTCTTCTCTAATTGTCCAGTGTAGGGTCTTATAACTCATAGCTTTTCATAGTTTTATAAAGCATAAAGAGTTTTTTCTATAACTGTATTAGTCCATTTTCACACTGCTCTAAGGAATACCTGAGACTGGGTAATTTATAAAGGAAAAAGGTTTAATTGACTCACAGTTCTACATGACTGGGGAGGCCTCAGGAAACTTACAATCATGGCAGAAGGCCAAGGGGAAGCAAGGTATGTCTTACATGGCAGCAGGAGAGAGAGAGAGAGAGCGAAGCAGGAAGTGCCACTTTTAAACCATCAGATCTCATGAGAACTCATTCACTATCACTAGAACAGCATGGGGGAAACTTCCCCCATGATCCAATTACTGCCCACTAGGTCCCTCCCTTGACATATGCATATTACAATTCAAGATGAGATTTGGGTAAGGACACAGAACCAAACCCTGATGCAAGAGGTGGGTTTCCAAGATCTTGGGCAGCTCTGCCCCTGTGACTCTGCAGGGTACAACCCCCATGGCTGCTTTAATGGGCTGCCATTGAGTGCCTGCGGCTTTTCCAGGTGCACAGTCCAAGTTGTCAGTGGATCTAGGAGGTTGGTGGGCTCTTCTAACAGCTCCACTAGGCAGTGTCCCAGTGGGGACTCTGTATGGGGGTCCCAATCCCATATTTCCCCTCTGTATTGCCCTAGCAGAGAGGAAATGAGGGCTCTATCCTTGCAGCAGACTTCTGCCTGAACATCCAGGCATTTCTGTACATCCTCTGAAATCTAGGTAGAGGCTTCCAAATTTCAACTCTTGTTTTCTGTGCACCTACAGGCCCAACACCACATGGAAGCTGCCAAGGCTTGGAGCTTGCACCATCTGAAGAAGTGGCCTGAGCTGTACCTTGGCCCCTTTTAGCCATGGCTGGCGCTGGTGCCTCTGGGATGCAGAGTGCCTTGTCTTAAGACTGCACAGAGCAGTGGGGCCCTGGGCCTGGCCCACAAAACCTTTTTTCTCTCCTAGGCCTCCAGGCATATGATAGGAGGGACTGCTGTGAAGATCTCCAAAATGCCCTGGAGACATTTTCCCTATTGTCTTGGCTGTTAACATTAGACTCCTTGTTACTTATGCAAATTTCTGGAGCTGGCTTTGGCTTGAATTTCTTCCCAAAAAATAGGCTTTTCTTTTCTACCACATGGTCAGGATGTGAATTTTCCAAACCTTTATGCTCTGCTTTTCTTTTAAATATCACTTGCAGTTTCAAACCATCTCTTTGTGAATGCATTTGAATGTAAGCTTTTAGAGAAAGCCAGGTCACATCATGAATGCTTTGCTGCTTAGAAATTTCTTTCACCAGATACCCTAAGTCATCTTTCTCAAGTTCAAAGTTCCATAGATCTCTAGGGCAGGGGCAAAATGCTGCCAGTCTCTTTGCTAAAGTATAGGCAAGAGTAATCTTTACTCCAGTTCCCAATAAGTTCCTCATCTTGAGAGAGAGAGAGAGAGAGAGAAAGAGAGAAAAGCAGGAAGTACCACTTTTAAACCATCAGATGTTGTGAAAACTCATTCCGTATCACAAGAAGAGCCTGGGGGAAACTGCCCCCATGATCCAATCACCTCCCACCATGTCCCTCCCTCGACATATGGGGATTGCAATTTGAGATAAGATTTGGACACAGAGCCAAACCCTGTCAATAACCCTCCTACTTTACCCCCGCTAAGTGTTAGCTTGGTAGTGTGACATTCTTTCTAAGAAGTATTAACATTTTTGACTTCTATTGTAGCCCTGTAACCTTCATAAAGTAGATTTCTAACAAGAAAATGTCTCCCTCCAAGAATAAAATTTCGTTTATTTTTATTTATATTGTCTGGCCACTTTACTCATCAAATGACATTGCCATGACAGAGAATGAAATCACAGCCTCTTAGAAGGTTTCCCTTTCAGATGTGGTTATAAAACATAATGGGAGCAAGTTGGGCCTGAAGTGGGAATTTGAGTGAATCTCATGTTCCATCTGAAATTATGGAACAGTTACTTAGCCCTATCTTTAATGCACAGGCACCTATTTACATGTTGAAATGTATGCATAAAAGGAGTCTGCTATTAGGAAATTTAGGAATAAAGTTCCTTGGGGAGAAATAGTGACCTTGAGATGACAGAAGACCTTTGTGCTGGGCCAAGAATCTTCAGTGGCTTCTTTTTGGGAAATGTCTAAAGCAGAAGCCATGAGGCTTGTTTTTGTGAAGGATTCTGTAGTATTTGGGTAGGCATAGGCTTGGAATTTATGTTCAAATTCTCACATAGAATTAAGGATGTTGGTATTCTCAGTTCCGTGTTGAAATATGTGTAGCTGCAATGAAGGAGGATTGCTTCAGCTATGTAATACTGCATAACAAACCACCCTGAACAGTGGCAAAAAGCAATAACAACATTTCTTTTGCTCACATTTTGCAATTTGGACAGAATTTTGCAGGGATAACTCATTGCTGCTTGACTAGGAGTCAGCTGAGCAACTCCAAAGCTAGCAGTTGGAATAATCTAAAGGCTTTTTTTTTGAGACAGGGTCTTGCTTCATCTCCCAAGCTGGAGTGTAGTGCTACAATCACAGCTCACTGCAGCCTGGAACTCCTGTTATTTGGGAGTACAGGTGTGTGCCACCATGCCTGGCTAATTTTTTTTATTGTAGAGACAGAGTCTCACTGTGTTGCTTAGACTGCTCTCGAACTCCTGCACTCAAGCAATCCTCCTGGCTCAGCCTCTCAAAATGCTGGGATTATAGGTGTGAACCACTGTACCTAGCCTGAAGTCTGCTTTTTGTGCACATCTAGCAATTGATGCAGCTGTATACTAATATCGTACCTGGGGATGCTGATGGGAACACTTACACATGGTATTTACGTGTGGTTTGTGGTTCCTCACAAAATGGTGGCTGAGTTCTAAGTGCCAAGATCTTAAAGGGGACAGCTGGGAAGAAGCTATATCCTTTTTGTTATCTAGTCTTGGAAGTCACATAGCATCACTTCTGCCTTATTCTACTTATTCTATTGTTTCAAGCCTGCCCAGTTTCAAGGGTAGAAAAAAGAGAATCTACTTCTTAATGAGAGAGTAGCAAGGTCCTGGAGGAGCATGTGATATCAAAAGTAATGCTGTGGCTCGTTGTGAAG
Source organism: Homo sapiens (assembly GCF_000001405.40). Classification (NCBI taxonomy): domain Eukaryota; kingdom Metazoa; phylum Chordata; class Mammalia; order Primates; family Hominidae; genus Homo; species Homo sapiens. The sequence goes on along the minus strand of NC_000003.12, from coordinate 110,660,156 downwards.
AATACATCCTTCTTAAAGACTCAAGGGCTTGCAGAAGTTCTTGTCACATCAGTTAAGTGGTTTTGGGAGAAATGCTGAGGACATTAGGGATGCAGATTTCTCACGCAGCATCCAGATTCCAGTCTTAGTGCTAAAGTGGGCTTTTCTCAGGAAAGAAATGATGCTAGTCCTCTGGAAACCTTGAAGGTTTTGAGGCAGTTGTGAAAGTGATAACTCTTTTCCATGAAAATTTGTGTATCAATGCTAATATGAACTCATTTGTACCACAGTCTGCTAAGGCCTAGGGCAATGTAGGATAACATGAATATCCAATAAAAACAAAGTATATTGAATCATTTAAAAAAATTAATGAGTACTTGTCTTTGTTATCATAATTTATAGAAATTCATAGATAAACATTTTATATTTATACAACTGATTCATGTTAGAATTGCATTCTGCTCTTGTCATTTAACTATTTACATAGACATTAGATTGTCTTTTACCCAGTTTACTTTGCAGAAAAGATTTCAGAGAAATTTGGATTAATTTCTGCTGGTATGACTATTGGTACAAGTTGAATCGTAAGTGCCTTCATTTCTGCATAAATCTCAAAATGCTGAATTCATGTGATAACTTTCATTGTTCTTGACCAACTTGGTCCACCTACCTAAAGCAGAGTCATTGGCAGATTTGGCAGTCAAATCCTATATCCCTATACATACTAATGCATCTCCCAGTTTCTCCACCTCTTTCTCATCAAATACACTGTATTGAACAATGCTAGAACCAATGCTAGACCTCTGGATATCTAATTACTAACTTCATTCTTAGTCACAGCTGTTCACTAAGACTTCCATGACTCTTCACAGCAACTCTTCACAGTATTTTGCCCTTTATCCTCTACTGATTTCTTTCCCTTTATAATCTGTTATAAAGAAACTTTTAAAAAAGCTTATTTAAAAATTCTGAGCAAACTATATCCACTGGATCACTTATATAGTATGCTATATTATATCTTATGTAAGATAGGAGGAAATTTAGTAGATTAGAGACTTTTTTTGGAATTGTTTCATTGGTTCTGTAAACTTTGCAGTACAGTGGCTGGTTTTCGTTTAATTAAATTCCTAATGGATTTACCCAAGAATTAAAATATTAGTTTTATTAAGATGTGATTTCTCATATTTTGTTTGGAAGCTGCAATATTTTTATAATGTATGCTATATCAATGGCAGTTTTCAGGCATATTGATCATTAGTTTAAATTTAAAATATCTGATCTACCTCACAGAAATTAGTCATAAAAGTAGAAATGCATTCGTGAATTTATTTTCACATACTTTCTGGCCTACGTTGGCTCAGGCTTAATATATTAAATTTACTAAGAGACCTCAGTGTCACAGCCACAGCTGTAAACAAAGTTTTCATTCATTCTTTTAAGGTATATACTATTTAAGAGATAAAACTGGGGCTGAAAGAAGTTAAAAGTGATCATTAACGGTGGGCGCAAGATATAGTGGAGGAAAATCCCCAAACTGTTATTCTCCCAAGATGGTGCTCATGTGAGCAGAAAGCAGGGGAGTTGGTCCTGGCATTGCTGACAACTTGCAACAGATCCCACCTGCAGAAGATTGGGGAAGTGACAGAGAGGTCTGGGAAGGGGAGCAGTGTATTAGGCTGTGCCTCAGGTTCTCTGCTTCTGCTGGTCCTCACACCTCACTGCTGGAACCATAGATGATCCCCACTGCCAAAGTAGCTCTGACTCAATCTGATGCTGACTATCCTCAGGTCAGCAGCTTCTGTACTACCCTACAGATTTTAGAGGGTAGATTTGGGAGTTGCATTCCAATCATAAACCAATCTCTGATGACAGAAATGGTACCTGAATCACTGGGCTGCCAGATTGGTCCCATATCCCTCCTTTCCAGCATACCCTGGCCATCACACAACACCCACTACCACCTCCATTCCACCCAATTTGGAGTTGCACCAATCAGATTTTTACCTGACCTGCCCCTCAATTGATTCTGAACCAGGATCACTGGCCTTTGGTAGGGTCTCAGGACTTGGATCTGAAGGAAAAAAGGGGTGGGAGTGATCCCAAGTAGGAGCCAAGAGGAATAAGATCTAATTTCTGAAGAGGTTAGGGCTGAATTGAAAACTAGGGTGCATTCAAAATATCAAGTCAAGGAGATCAGAATTAAAGCATAAGCAAATGGAAACAGGTCAGTTGATAGTACAGGTTTGGAAGACAGAGCCTGGCTGGATCTGCTGAAAGCTAGTGCACTAAAGGCTGAAGGCTTTGTGATGGGCAGCGGACAGCTCTGCCTTCTGCTGGGGTGAGCAGCTAAGGGCAACCCCCAGCATCAATCTTCTTTTTCTGACTATGTGATTTTTGGTATATTACATAAATCCTTTGAGTTTCCTTTTTTTGGCTATAAAATAGCAATAATAATACTTGCTTGCAGTATATCGTAGGGATTACAGATATAAAGTTACTAACAGACATGGCCTGCATAAGTGCTCATCATATGGTGACCCTCAGTACAGCTCTATTACTTACTAGCTTCATGGTCTTGGAGAATTCATTTTACTTTTTGAGCTTCAGTGTCTTGTCCTATGAATGAAGAGGTTAAATTAGACCATCTCTTAGTCCCTGTCCAACACAAAGACCCTAAAATCTATTCTACATTCTTATTTGGTGGCAAAGGAGTCTTGCTCTCTAAGACTATCTTGCAACTACCCTGAAACTCAGGTCCAAACCTACAAATTAGATTAAATCCTATTAAAAAAAACTCCTTTGAAACATTAAAGCCCACATATATGTTTAAATAACCTTGTCAAATTTGCTCTCCCTGCAGAGGGCTTTTCATTATTCTTTTTCATTAAAATAAAAATCCCTCTGGTTGACTTTCTAAATGTGTTTTCGTTAGGCCCTCAGCCTGTTGTTAACCATTTTCAACCTCATATTAAACTCTGTCCTCTTGAAACTTAATGCTCTGCTACTCCCTGAGAAGTCACCCACAATAATGATAGAGTAGGCACTTAATATGCTAAATAATAATAATAATATAAAATCAAAATGTAATGATCACTAGCTGCTCAATAAGGGTCTGTCACTCACTTCCTTTATCAGTAATTTTCACTATAACGTTCTTCTTTGAAAGGGGAGGGGAGAAAACCCTGCACAGCAAATGGCTCCAGGCTCCAGGCTGTGGTAAATAGGGTATCTAATATCCAGAAAATGAATATGCAGCCTTTAGGGAAACATATGCAATGAAGGTAAATGGATTCTCAGATTAGGAAGTTTAGTCCTAAGGAATAAAAGGAACTAATTTGCAAGAGAAAAGAATAGATGTAGTTGGATTTCACCCTGCTGATAAACTGTACTTCCATAGAGATTTCCCTCTTCTTTATTTCAAAAGCTATAGAAGTCAAGGGTTTCCTGTTCCTTTATGTTCCATAAACGAGTTGTTCAGATAAGCAGCTCATTGCTCTATCAACTAATTACTTTCTGATTTGCTTTGATCTATTATTAAGGCAGTAAATTCCAGCTTCATTGCACCCATAATGTAAAACTCAAATGTAATCACTGTTGCAAAAGGAGATAACAAAGTTGTTGATTTGAAAAAGACATTTCCTTTTTGGCAAGAAGTCTAGCGTGTGATACACATGCTTTCCATGTCGTTCAGGCAATTGACTTTGACACAAACCCATTCTATACTCTATGGATCTTTTGCCAGAAAACAAGTCATTTAAGTATCCAGCTTCCTTGGAATTTTTATTTATATGTGAAGCCATTTTGCCTGCTATTCTCATAGTTATGATACGCTACTATTCATGAATTAAAGCATCTTTTGAGTGTGGCATATGGGATCAGTACTTCATAATCAAATCTTCATGTGTATTAGCAACCTTACTATAAAGTTGTAACCTTTTTGTCTTAACCGCATTACAAGTTAATCTTTCGTAGGCTATTTTTTTCTAATTCATCTGAACAAATTGAGTTTATAAGTTAGAATTCTCCTACAATCTTTGTAGTCCATATGTGCAAAGCCAAAACAGCCCTCTGAGAATATTAAAGGCCTCCAAGGTTACTTTCTGTAAAAAAATAATTCACTATCCATTTAGCTTTAGGAAAATCCATGTTTCCAAAATCACATGCAAACAAGAATTTGATTTCTACAAATGGTTCTATAAACTGAAAGACATTCTGATGACTGACTTGTCTTGAAATTTGTTTTGTATTTTATCATCTCCCTTCGGTCTCTCTCCCTCTTCATATTTCTGCATACGTGGATATGTGTACCATGCCCTTATTTTGTTCTCCAGGTTGGTTTTGGGCATCAAAGGGATACCAAGAGACATGATTTCCAAAGCACTTCAATCTTTAATGGACATTTCTCCTCCAGACAAGGCCTGGATAGCTTTTAAGTTTCTATGCACAGTAAGAGAGCAGGCAATATTACTAGATTAGCTCTTCATTTAATAATGCTTTAATATACATCACTCGAACTCTACCATTTTACCTTAGGAATAGTTGATTATCTACTGTCTACTCTGAACTGTCTTTCTTTGTGGCTCTCAAGTATTTTACTCTCTCTCCAACTCCCTCCTCTTCCCCGTGTCTCCCACCCTCACGTAACAACTATTCTTGCAAATTTTATCTGGGTTTTAAAAGTTGTGTTAATCTAGAGAATCAAGAATTTGGTTCAGAATAAAACTGCCATTTTCCTCCCACTTTATTTTACCTGGCAAGGACTTTGGAGCAAAGTGACTTTTGACCTCTTTTTGAGAGCTGGGAGTTTGGTAATAATTCACTTTCTTGATAAGGAGAAGGCAGTGAGGAATTTAAAGGCCTCTGTACCTGTTGTATAAATTGGCCAGAAGCCTTGTTACTTGTTCTTTTGTAAAACGAAAAAGATTAGATTTTATACAGATCCTGTCTATTGGGAAAGGGCTTGTGTTTTATAAGTTGGATTGGAGAGATTTGGTACAGCACAAATAAGGTATCTTAAAAATTTTCAGTTTTTGGTGCCTAGGAGCAGAATTATATGACTTGGCAAATAAGGAGGTAGTTGATATTTAAGGCCAATATTGCAACCATAAAAGTTAATGACTGTGCAGATTTTTATATTGGATAACTTCTGCTGTTGACGAACCTTGACCCAATTAAATCACTTTAAAAGTTAACTGCAAACTGCTTTCGGATTTGCATTATCTGCCTTTGCACTAGTAGGAATCATCCTTTCAGTTGTGTGAACTTGAGCAAGGTAGTTGACTCTCTGAACTAACTTATTTGTAAAAAAGAAAAAGTATAGTTTCTGCTCATTAAGCTGTGATAGCATTAAATGTGATCATATAAGTCGATCAGATAAGAGATGTGAAATGTATTGGACAGTGTCTGACATAGAGCAAGCACTCAATACGTATCAGCCATCATTATCATTATCATGATCACATAAGTAATCTGGCTCCCAGGGTGTTTAGCTTTGGAGAGAAATTACTAATTAAAGTTTTAGTAATTGGAGGGTGGGAGACTTACTGGAAATTGTACTCTTATTCCCCTGTCATCAGTTTAGTCAATCCCAGGAATGTGCTCACCATCAAAAACACTTTTGTTTGAAGTAATTATTGACAGGTAAGGACTTACTATTGCCATTTTGTTAGTCATTTTCTGATTGCTTTGTAGTTCCTACTTTCAGTTCTTCCTTTCTTGCTGTCTTCCTTTTTGATTTGATGACTTTTTTGGTGATATGCTTTAAATTCCTTTCTCTTCATCTTTTGTTTATCTACTAAATGCTCAAGACCACTTTTGAACCCTCATTGTAGGTAGAACAAGATAAATGCTATCAATTATGGTAGGGCTATATGTTAAGAAAAAATATCTTTATTCAACCACTTACATAAATTTTGTTTTCCATTGACTTGTAAAAAGTAAAATAATAGCAGAAATTTCTCAAATCCATTCATTTCTATTTTTATCATCTAAGTTGTTTGAGCATTCTTGGATATTTTTATGTTCATCAAATTAAAATTTCCTAATTGCACAGTCTACTGCAAAAATGCTTTTGATGTTGGCACGTTTTTGTCCTATTTTGACCATTATTTAGAGTTTTTAGTGACTTACTAAGGAAGTCTTCAGTGCATATAGCTAGATCTGCTGAAAGCTCGTGTACTAAAGGCCGAAGGCTTTGTGATGGTCAGTGAACATAAGGAAATAACATTTCCTAGTAGACAGCCGTAGTCATTCTCCTGGGGATTACACCCTCCAGTAGTTCCAAATGAACAGAAAGAAGAGAACTTACATTTTTAGAGTATCAACTATGTACAAGTTGCTTTACGTAACAAAGACTAATATTTACAGAGTTTTGTATATGTATTACATAATTCAACTTATTGAATTCTGAGATATAAAGTCCATGAAATAGATACTGATATTATCCCTGGTTTAGAGATGAGGACTTAAAACATAGAAAAGTTATACAACTTGTTCAGGCTATCTACCTGGAAAGATGCAGAATTGGGACTTGAAGCTGGGAAGTCTGTGTTTTCTTTTCTGCCATGCTGTCCTCTCAGTTCATTTCCATAGCAACTCATTGTGTGGATACCACTTTCTTACTGAGGAGAAAACAGAAGCTCAGAGAAGTGGAGTAACATGTACTTGTCCTCTAGCCTATACCACATTCAGACAGAAGAGGAAACAAGTGTCATTTCAAACATAACAGCGGCCCATTATTTCTTGGTTAAAGGGAAACAAAGGGCAAGTTTGGGTATGGCTGCCCTTTACACTGCCCTTGCTGATTGAATCCATGAAGATGCTCAGGGGAGCTGAAGGAAGTGAGAAAAATATGTTTGCAATCCTCTTAGCACACCTACTAGCTGACTGGAAACTGGCTAAAGGTTCCAAACGTTCCATAGATGGAAAGAGCTTATTCTCTGTTGCCATAATCCATGCTATGCCCCTGTCCAACATGCTGGCAAGGGAGGCATCAAAGATCAGAGTCAGGAGCCTCCTCCATTCTGAGGGGTGTCAGTGAGGAGACTTTTTCTGCCATGTGAGACAGGATTGTTCCCTTGACCTTGACCCCCTTAGTAGGCGGGAACTGGAGTGGCTTGTTTCACTCATCCCACCGCTGGCCATTCCTCATAAGAGGGAGTGTGTGAGCAAGACAGTGTGGGAACCAGAGCAAATAAAACCCTGGAACCAGCTGGTCCCTCCTCTCTGGCGGTAGCAGGCTTTGTGTGGGCCCTGCAGCAACCCTCAAGCCCCGACCACTCCGCACCCATGTTCTTATCTCACATCCAGAAGGAATCAGGTCACGTGAACGGACTGAAGGATAGTGTATGCAGGATATTTTATTGAGCAATGGAAGTGGCTCTCAGCAGGATGGGGAGTTTGAAAAGAGATGGTGTGGGAAGAAGGTGATCTTTCCCTGAAGCTGCACTGTCTGAAGTTAGATGCATCTATCTGTAGTCTCGGACACTAAGTTACTTTTCTACTCGCCGCTCAGCCACTTGTATCCTCGCCCATCAGCCACTTGTATCCTCGCCCCTCAGCCACCTGTGTTGCTCTGCCAGTTGAAGTCTTTTTTATGGGTCCAGGATAGGGGCATGGCAGACCAAGAAGGCAACATTTGGGTGGAAAAATGGGGTCAACTGTTTTCACTTAGAGTTGCAGTTCCAGGCTTAAAGGTGGGGTTTAGCTGGGAGCCCAGCCCTTCTGCATCAAATGTTACAGCCAGACTAAAACAAAGGCAGAAGAGGGGCCATAAGACAATCAAAGTAGGGGAGACAGGAAGAGGGAAAGAAAAGTAGCTAAAAGAAAAGAAAGGAAGACAGGAAAAAGGAAAGCCCAGGGCTGGAGTTTCATTCCCACGAGAGGGGAGAACTGGCCTGCTATGGACTTCTCCTTTTTTCCTGCTTCTAGATAGAAAACATATTCATTCCCCTCAGGGCTCTGAATCCTGCACCAGTTGAAAATTCATTTGAAAAATCAAATTGTGTCTGAGAAACAAGCACCTCCCGAAAGGCCCTGGCGGTCAGAACAATCAGGATTTAAATTAATTGCTTAATGGAAAAAAACATTTTTGAGAACAATGCTGATAATTTACTAAACCACGGTATGTTTGTAACTCTTTGAAATGAATTGAATTGCTGGTTTCAAGAATTAAGGCTTACAGAGAAATTGTGATTGAAATCCCCAAAGTTAAGTATTAATTCCTTAAAGCAATTGGTAATTAGTGAAGAATTGTGCACTTACAGTCAGTACTACATTCAACACTTAATTATACACTGTCTCAAATTGTTTCCTAGATGTTGTATGCATGTTGTCTTGTCTCCCAAAACTTGATCATAAAGTCAATGAGAAAAGTACCGAGTTTCTTTTCTTGGAGTTTTATTGGTGTCTCCCACTGTAGCTAGCATAGCACTGAACACAGACGGATACTCAAAAGTTGATGGATGCAGACTGAGATAAATCAGTGAGTTTAGAAAACATTGGCCTTTTGAAGGAAAATTCATTTAGTTATCCCAGCATGCCAAGAACAGGGCACATTTCTCAGGAGAGACAAAAAAGTGAATGAATATGTTATGGATTTAGAAATTGCATGTGCTAAATGGAGTAGAGAATTTGAAAGGAGACATCCTATTTGAGTGAAAAGAAATTGCAGACAACTTGAGGTCAGGCATTTGCTGTGGAGCAGCTTGATTTGGTTTCTGCTGATTTATCTACGTTTTACAAGATTGAAAATAATCATTAGGCCTGGAAGGGCATGGAGATCAGAGGACTCCAGTGCTACATGACTGCCTCATAATTTTCTGGGACTTCTACACTTTTCAAAAGCTTTAATTGTGACATGTGTATTTAAAAAAGCAATTGAAAAAATGAGATCTTGCTACTATTCATTTGTAAGTGACAAAAATAAAGGACTTACCATTGTATTTGCTAAGTTGAAATTCATTCCTCCATGCTGCAGGCATGAAAAAAAATCACCTCTGCTGTTAGGAATATTCACTCATATTTTTAATTTTTTTTGTCTTCAGCTTAAAAACATTAAAAGCTTCCATGATAATGATAGCTCTCTTTAAAAGAATGTTGAAGAATTGTCCATGTTTTATATGTTTACTTTAATTTTGTATGAAAGGAGTCAGTGGTGATGAAAGGCTGGGAAAATATAAACAAATCTACTTTGCAATAATTATAAGGTAACCAAACAATGACTGCAGATCATATTACTTTACATCGATTCCAGGCACTACTCCCACACTAAGGGACAAACTCTCTATGAACTTGCAAGTATCTATCTGTTGACTTATTTCCCACTATTCTTCATATTACCTGCTATATTCCAGTAACTTCAGATTGCTATGCCCCTCAGCACACAACACATTTTCTTAGTGCTTTGATTTGGCTTGGCCTGGAATGGCCTTCCTATTCTTGTTCGCTCTTATTCATCCTGTAAGACTTCTACTGGGCAAACCCTTCAAAATCTCCTTCTCCCTACATCCCCAGATTAGGCTAAGTGTCCTATTAATATCTATGGCATTCTTATTACTCTAACATGCCTCAATGCCATCTCTTTCTGTATTATGTTAAATATCTAATTATATGTCTATCTTCTGCATGGGTTGGGGTTCTGTTTTCTTCCCTAACAGCTTTTTGAAAAAAGAAAAATCTTAATTCTCTTCACATAAAGTGCTATTTTCCCTGGTCTATTCTCTTTCCCTCTTACCCCAATCCTCAACTGACCTAACATCTTTTTTCTTCTGTCTTTCTTCTTCTAACTGCCCCCGCTCTGCTTTTGCTTCCCATCTACTTTGACTTCATGATGACCATGATAAATGCAGCAGAATGAGCTTAAAAATAAATGTTAGTTTAAAAAGTATAATTAGCTAAAAATGGCTTTATGTTTTCAATTCCTACATCTGCTGTATTTCCTATTATACTTTAAGCTACTTAAGTATACACATTAAAAAATATGAAGTCTTTGATTTTGGTTTACTTGCCTAGTAGCAATAAAATAAGAGATATTGTTTTATGATATAGGGAGGGATATAAAATTATTATTTTTTATTATTGACCTGATCCGTGGGGAGAAAAAAAATTATAGGGTTTTGTACTTGCGCTGTCTCTTTCTCTCTCTCTTTTTTTCAAATAAGACATATTCAACATTTTCCTTTATGCCTCCAAATTCCTTTTAGAAATGAGAACCAGAGAACATAAAGTGTTACTTGATAATTGCAGCAAATGTTGTAAACTTTTGTGTGATGTTATAGTTATTATAAGGGAATAAAAGCCAGAAGAGATAGGAAGAAACAATGTTAAAATGAAGAGACACATATATATGACACATACATATATAGACAGAGACCAGTGTGAAGGCAAATACGGAATAATGGAATAAAGGCAAAAACATGTACTTCACATTCTGTTTGATGTAATTTTTCTTTCCAGTTTGCTATATTTTTATTTTTTGCTGTGCAATTTACCCAATCTAGTTTAACACCAGTTTTTCTATTTATTAATAGGGAATAATAACACATATTTTACTGTGTTATTAGTGGGGTTAAATGAAATATCCATTCTAGAAATATGTACTGAGTCCCTGTAATAGATACTGGTATCTGCTATAGCAGTTTGCTTTTGGTGCTTACCCCATGCTTTCATCAAATTTATCTTATGATCACTGCTTATGCCCATCTGTCATGGACTTGATTTTCATCTTATGATACTCTTAATAAACAAGCAGAGATAGAGAGGGAGGTGTTACAGAGAGTAAAGCAGACTCAAGGGCCTGCATGGAGAGGTAGATATCTTGCACAAAAATGAAGAAGAGGAAACAGACACAGGAAACATGCTTCAAAGGCAATTGCTACATCTTTTGACTTTTTAAATGTCTTTTTAAAATGACTTTTTAAAAGTCATGTCATATTTTCACAAATATTAGCAATATAATGACAGTCTTTCCCTTCAACTGTGTATGTGGGGACTACAATATTTGGCCAAGAGCTGGTGATTTTCTATGCTGGCTGAAAAGAGACCAGGAGAATACATAAATGGAAACTGAATATCACTGGTTTCTTTAGTTGATCCCTTAGCTGACCTACCATTTCACACACCTTCTCAACATTAACTGTTGTTATCATGATGGAACTATTAATATAACCATAATAGGTATACACCAATAAAAGATTCAGGAATCATATTGCATTCCATTTATTTCTATCTTTCAATTTCTAGTGATATTTTCACAATCTTTGAACACATTTTTATGGTGGAATGAATATCTGTGCAGAAATCAAAATCACAAAAATACATGGAATAACATCTGGCTGATTCAGTCATGTTAATATTTGAAGTCAAACTTGGCTTATTAATATTTATGACTTGAAAATATGTCCTTGGATTTTGTGATCGGATGATTTGATTTTTTATTTATATAAATATTGTGGCTTGTATCTATTGTTATTTGAAAACAAACAAGTCCTTGAAAACCAGTTTATCACTTGTTATTTTCTTCCCCTTTAGGATAATATTACTCAATTTACACTTTTGCTTATATTTACATAGGGCTCAAGTATGTGATTACAGAAAAGGTATAGAAATTGATGCTTTGCTCATCTTAGCTTAGACCATTTTAAAATCTAAGGCCAACATGGTGAAACCCTGTCTGTACTAAAAACACAAAAATTAGCTGAGCGTGGTGGCGCACACCTGTAATCCCAGCTACTTGGGAGGCTGAGGCAGGAGAATTGCTTGAACCCAAGAGGCGGGGGTTGCAGTGAGCTGAGTGCCACTGCACTCCAGCCTGGCGACAGAGCGAGACTCTGTCTTTAAAAAAAAAAAAAAAGAAATTTAAGGCTCTAATAAATGAAAGGTGCTTGTACCGTGATAGCTATACAAGTACCTAATGAGTTTCATAATCACTGTGATTGTGAATAAGAAAATATGTGTCTCTGTCATGTACTAGTCTCAGATGGGCTTGAGAACTAAATCTTAAAAATATTTATTTCAAGTGATGTTTAGTTAATACTTGTAGTTACCTTTATTAAATACTTATATTTTCACAGACAGCAACATATCTGCATATACTATCTTATTTAATACTTTCAAAAAAGTTTTAAGCTAGCTAATTTTTGTAGCTGATTAAAAGGTGAGGAAACTGAAACTTATTAGTCCTATGTCTACTAAGTGGAGAAGCTAAGATTGAAATCTAGGTTTGTTTGATTCTAAAACCTGAAACTTCTGTCTGTTAGGTTAATTGATGCTCCAAACGTGCTAACAAGGTAAAAGAAATTTAGTAATGTCTTTGGCATATATTATTTTATTAAAATTATTTTTATTTTATTAAAATCAGCTATTTTATCAAAACAGTTCTTATTTTATTAAAATATTTTAATATTTTATTTTATTAGAATATTTCTTAATAAATATTTTACTAAAATATCACGTTATTTTATTAAAATATTTTGTAAGAAAAACATGTTAGTACTATAAGAGTTTGCATCTTTTCTATCTGAGAATAAATTATTGTCACTTGCCACTTTGGAGTCTTCTGAGAATGGCCAAAACCTTACTTCAGAGAGAGTGAATAACAAGACACCTGGGGTAACTCTGTCTCTTAAGAGACAAGCTCTGATCATATCTAGCGCAAAATATTGCATGACATTCAAAGTATAAAACAGTTTGTAGAGCTACCTGCAGAACTGCCTTTCTTAACCTCACGTTAGCTTGATTCCATTGCTTGTCCTTCCATTTCTTCACCATAATCATCCCACCAACCTGAGAAGCTTGGATACATGAGATAAGCAAGCACATTCTTCATAGTTTTTTGGGGGTGAGTCAGATATTTACATATTGCTACTTTTAATTTAGTGTATAGATTGGGTGGCTCATTCCCTTTGCCCATGGCCTCATTCTTTGTCTTTGGCTCATGATCTGGTTAATTCTATTTCCCAAAGTAACCCTCATTAGGCGTATCATTTTATCTTTCCTTAGACCTCCCATCATCACTTTCTAACATCTCTTTTGGCTCCCACTCAAAGAGGAAGGATAGTTTCGGGTCATGGCTCCCCAGCCACTAATAATCCATGGAAAAGACAGCCTCTTGATCCCATAAGCAATTGTCCTCATGGTTTCCATTCACAGACATTTCCATGAATAATACTTGTCATTTTGGGGGCACCCTGGCCTTAATGAGATACTCTGATTTGTTCCCCATTCTTTCCTCTCCTTGGTGTTTTTATACAGCCGTTTTCACTACCCTGACTCCTCACTTGACTTTTATTTCTCTGTTTTAAGTTTCTTCAAGGCAGATCTCAAAACTTGTTATATCTACCTCTTTCTGATTTGTCAGTCTTTTAAAAGCTGCTTTTTCTCTTCTCATATTTATCATATTTTGACAATTAAGTAATCATTTTTTGAAAGCTTCTGACCAAAAACTTTTCACTCTGAAGTATTATTTTACCAACATCTGATCTTTTGTAATGTTTTTTTTGAATTGTGGTTACTTCTGCCCTATCTGGGGCCCTCCAGATTTGATTCTTAAGACATTTCATCTGTGATTACAAAGAGAGTCAATGTTAAGCTGTATTTCTGCCTTCAATTTTCTAGTTTTCCCAAAACCTTATTTCCCTTGTAAACTAACAAGCATAGAGGCAGCCTTGGTAGAGGTTAGGTACTGCTGCCTATAGGTAAGGATAAAACTTTATAGAGTCAAAGTTAAATTTGAAAAACCTCTGAAAGGTTCATAGAGCACAAATGGATGCTTTTAAAATACAATCCTGTGCAGCATTACACACCTATAAATATATAATGTATACAGTGATGTTCTTTTTTAGAGGGAACAAGTGGTTGGCTTGTGTTTAAGAGCTATGGTGAGTCAAAAAAGTATGTATGTGGGTGTGTATATATATACATGTAAACGTGTGTATATATATGTACATATATATTAATCTTTAAATATTTAAATTACATTCAATGAAGTAAATTGCTCACATACACAGGAATGCTAGAAATGTAAAAGACTAAAATAATAGGAGTTACACATTTCCTATCTCACACTCATTTTAGGATAAGGTATGTGCCTGCTGGATGTAGTGGTAGACAAAATTAACTGCACTACTTACACTGTTTTTATTTTTACTTATTTTTAATTTTTTGATTACTTAATTACAGGCATCATAAAACTAGATAAACAAGTAAGATTGAATTCTCCTGAATTAAGTGATTATATGATGTAACACTGCCAAATTCATACTTTTCATATTTTATTTCATCTAAGTATAAAGTCTAGTAATACTGGTTTATGTATCTTTTCAGTAGCTTCAGTCAAGTGTTCTGATTTCATTTAACAAGGATAATGAGATGAAAATCCATGGTTTAGATATGTACCTTTGATCTGTAGTTCAGATCAGTGCTTGACTGGTAAAAAACACTGTGGTTGCAAGATGGGGCAACAACAAATGTCTAAATCTTGTAAGTCTAACAAAATATTACAAAGACACATGTCTAAAATGACAGCAAATATCATAAATACCAGTCTTGTTATTTAATTCTGCTTTGCAGAGCTTAAAATAATGATCAGACTTCAACCGTCACCTCTTGTTTCACTTCCAATTTCTTATCTAATACGTATTTTTGTGTACGTAAATCTAAGCTGCTCTGTTTATTGACTAAGGTATACACTGTCTCTTTTGCCCCAAACTCACACAGTAATGGTGTCAGAAATTTTAGGTAGGAGTATCTTAGGTTTAATCTGTTTAGAAGGTGAACAAGATTGTTTCTTCTGAAGCCATATTTGCTGAGAAAGCATACACACTTTTCTTCATTCCTGTCTTTCCCTGGGGAAATCCTAGGGATTAAATGGTGAAGGCCTATAGCTACTGGTTTGCCATTTGTCTAGACTGAAATTCAGGTTTGCCCCTCAAATCCTAGATTTCATGTGCATGGAAGTATCTTTTTTCATTCTTGTTTTTTTATTTTTTCACAAGATACATTTATTGAGCATCAGACTATTTAATCTGTTTCTGATTAGTTAATTGACTTCTTTCAGGTTATTTAAGCCCTGAAGTGGACCAAATTACACTTTCTCTCCCTCTTTAAGTTTCTTTCAGTAGAAGTTTATTTTGGCTTGATTTGAGCTCCTGAGTTTATATCTTGTTTCTATTGACATAGATCACCTGGTTTGGTAAGTCTTTACCCTACTGAACAATAATCTCACTTTAATAGGTTTGTATCTTTCATATTCAATTGTTTGGCTGTAGGGAAAAGGGCAACAGTATAGTGTATAAAAAATGTGAAAAGTAATAGTACCCCATATTGAGTACCTCCACCTTATCCCATTTAATCCTTGTAGGAGATCAGTCAGGGTGGTGGGAAAAGTTATAAAAATTATAGGGAAAGATGCAAACCTTCTTGGAAGTCCAGGAGGTTTTGCAAAAGCTTCGAAAGAGTATTTGGCTGAAGGTGGTTAAATTTTCTTAAGAGCAAGGGTTAGATAACAAGGGAATGTAAAGGACCTTAACTAGATAAATTTATTTACTCCTGCCTCCAGAAATCAAACTTTGATCATTTGTGTGCAGGACTGCTCTCTACTCGGGGCGGGGAGGGGAGGTCAACAGTGTTTATTACCCACAAATTGTGTTTACTCCAAGCCTTTGTCATTAAACCTGTACTAAATAAATTCGAGCGGGGCTGACTTATGGGGCCTGCACTCTCGGTGGCTGCTGGTCTCTCTCGTCGGCGAGGCAGAGCCGTGTGGTCCCTTAGTCGCGCTGTCAGGCAGAATACCTACGTCAGCGAACTTCTTCCATCCATCGCCCGGCCAGAGCCTGCGGGACAGACTCGGCAACCCTCACTTTGGGAAGATTATTGTTCATATCTTACTGATGAAGACACTGAAAACTAGAGGAGTTAAAAATTACAAAATGTATATTGCTGACATTCAACAATATTTAGCTCTTCCATGAAGCTAATGATACATAATATTTTATTGTTTCTTAGAAATTTTGTGGTTTTTTTAATTCTTCCCAACTATATTGTGTGAGGGTAGAGGCCATGTTTCATACTTTTTTCATGTCCTTACATTACTCAGTCAATAATTTTCCCTCGATAAATAATTATTAAATCGAAGTTTTGTATTTAGTTATAAAATTTTCCTCTCCATTTTGATTAGCATTTTTGTCACTTAAATAGAGCAGATCTTTGCAGGATGCCACTGCTGACAGTTTCCCTGGGAATCAGCAGCTGAATTCGGGATGATATTCTCTTAGATGACCCTCACACAGGAAGGACTGGAAGAAGTAATCACTATTCATTCCCTTACTTTACTTTCAATGAAGTTATTGCTATTCCTTAATTTTGATAATTAATCTCTGAATCCACATGAGAAAAGTATAATTTCTTTTTTAAATTTTAGTGTGGTGGGTAAGGGACCATAGATGGGAGAAGTATATTAAACTGTAGTAATTGCATCACAGAGATAAAAATCAAAGGCAGTAGCTGATCTGATATAAAAGGTGTGGCTTCTTAGCTGTATTTGCTTTAGTTCTTACATAAAGAATGTTTCTCTTCTAATGTGTCCTAGGACTTTACAATACTCTAATGAGACCACCACCAACTGAAAATCACAGCTTTATTATTACCAATGAGGATTTAAGGCTAAGATTATAAATAAATATGTCTTTCAGATGAATTAGGTAAATGAGTATCAAAATCCAGAGTGTCACAGAATTCTTAAGTGTAGGTTGTAATTAAGGACTCAGCACAATGTCCTAAATGATTCCATAACATTTTCTCATTTGGAGTTGTCTAAACTGAGTCACTTGGTCATCCTCTGTGAATTAGTTCAATCTCACACTGCTATAAAGATATTATACCTAAGGCGGGGTAATTTATAAAGAAAAGAGGTTTAACTGACTCACAGTTCGGCCTGGGAGGCCTCAGGTAACTTACAATCATGGCAGATGGTGAAAGGGAAGTAAAGACTTTCTTCACATGGTGGCAGGAGAGAGAAGTGCAAGCAGGGGAAATGCAAGATGCTTATAAAACCCTCGGATCTCATGAGAACTCACTCACTATCAGGAGAACAGCATGGGGGAAACCACCCCCATGATCTAATTACCTCCCGCCAAGTCCCTCCCTTGACACGTGAGGATTATGGGAATTATAATTCAAGATGAGACTTGGGTGGGGACACAGCCAAAGCATATCACTCTGCCTGTGTTGGCCTCCGTTTTTAGTTGGTAGCCTGAAAGGTATGGTGTTTTCATATCAATCTGAGGGATTTTAATTTCTTGCTCAAAGAGTGCAGTGATTTTCCTGACAAGACTAACTTTGTGGGGAATGAAAAAGAAAGAAAGCCTTACTGAACACATGTCTGTGTCTGAATTCTTTCATCTTATTAAGAGTTGAGTGTCATTTCTACTCTCCTCCTACTTAATAAGTCAAAAGGGCACGTTATAGCATTTGGTATATACAACAAAAGCAAAGATTTACCTTCTCTAGGTTAAGTTACCTTCTCTAGGCAAGAGAAAAAATTCTGGGTGTTACATTAGAAATTTTGGGGTAAGAAAGTGAGATATTATAATGAATAGCTCCCTTTTGGTACCAAAACCCAATTCAGCACTCTTGGTTACCAGAACTCAATAAAAATTAACTTTAGAAGCACAAGTAATAGAAAAAAGTGGAGTGGGGACAAGAACAGCTCCAAGAATTAGAACTGGGGACTTTACTGGGATAAAGTCTCTCTCTTCCCATCTTTCCTGTCTGCTTCTTTCTACTTATTGGTTTCATATACTCTTATATTAAGTCAAGCTTTTTCCAGGATTCAGCAAACAAAGAGAGAACAGAGCCATGGGCATAGTTTCAGTTTAGTGAGTGAAAATCAGTTTCCCTGTTAGATAGTTTAAGAACCTTCCTATAGAGGAATTCTCTTGGTCTTGTTTGAGCCAAATGGTAATGCCTGGGCCATTCAGCATGCCCGACCACTATCACTGGGTTCTATAACTGGTGTGGATTGTCACAGACCCTTTGCTAGGGTCAGTGTGAAGAGAATACTGTGACTAACAACCTCTAAGAGAATTATGTGGTCGGAACTTGTGAGGACCAGTTTGCTAAAGGAAATATGACTTGTTTCTAGAAAAAGAGGAAAAAGTGATGGGTAGATGGATAGACAGGAAGCAGAAAAAAATAGTAGTTGTTCAATACAGATTGACTGTATTAGTTTTCTGTGCTGAAAAACAAATTACTACTGGTTCAGCAACCTAAAATAATACTCATTTCTTATCTCAGTTTTGGCACATCTGAAGTCTGGATATGGCATAGCTGAGTTCTCTGCTCAGCGTCTCACACATCTGAAATCAAGGTGTCAACCAGGGCTGCCTGCTAATCTGGAGCTCAGAGTCCTCTCCCAAACTCGACAGAATCACTTCCTTGGGATTGTAAGACTGAGTCCCTGCTCTTTTGTTCTGTCAGTCAGGTGCCACTTTTATCTACTGGAGGTCCCCCTGCCACATGGCCTCATCCAAAGCAGTTTGCTTCTTCAAAGTCAGCAGGTGAATTTATCTCTTTGAATTTCCCTTTTAGGAAAGACGTTGACCCTCTTTTAAAACGGTCACCTGGTTAGGTCAGGCCTGCATAGGATAATCACCCTTTTGATGAACTCAAACTAATCTGGGACCTTAATCTGCAAAATCTCTTTGCTGTATAATTTAGCATAATCACTGGAGTGACATCCATCATAATCATAGATGGCACCTGGATTCAAGTGAAGAGTGTTATAGGAGATGTGTACTCTAGGGGATAGAAATGTTGAGGTTTATCTTAAAATTTTGCATACCACATCAATGTTTCCTGGAAATAGATACAATGCATCAAAAAATAGAGGATCCCAACAAATTATACAAAGGTGTGTATAAATTCATTTACTTGGCATAAGCTTTATTTTTGTTTGCAAATTCCAATTAATATTATGCTGTGTAAAGTTGCTTTGAAATCTGTGGTTCCAAATGATATATAAAGAGTCATCTCTAAGATTCTTTCACATTAAGTTTTGTCTTTAATTTTCCCTCACCTATGCCTTGAAATTTCCAAAAAAAGTGGCTTCTACCTGTCACTATTATCTAGTTTCATGTCTCTGAGGTGTCCTAGAGAAAATTATTTTTAAAGTCCATTAAAGCCAACTGCAGTACGTGAACCAGTGTCTTAGCCACCAATCAATTTCAGAATCATCGCTACTTCTTAGATTCTTGCATTAAAGGTCCATGATTGTTTTCAGGAAAATGCAAAAAACGTGGTTTTGGTTGACAAAGGGAGTTGTGGTCTTTGGAGAATTGAAGTGTTTCAACCTATACTGTTTGTAATTTAGGCTGTGCATGGAGTGTAACTTTTTTTTGCATTGCTGTAGATTTCTATATATTTTAATTATTTGAAATATATGTACTAAGTATTTGCTTTGTTCCTAAAACAGCATCAATTGCTCTACAATTTGGAGATATCAGACGAACAGAGGGAAAATGCAGTCAGTGGTCTAAAGCTGCCCCTTAGGAAATCTAAGGCTATATCTGGTTCCATAAAGTCTTTAATCAGTCAGGTAAATGCTTTCTTTTTTTCTATATTCTTCTCTTTGCTCTCCCTCTACCCATGAATATATATGCTAAAGTGACTAACTAAATGCTCTTATAATCCTGGCCTTGGGTAGTTTAAAAAATATGTATTTTAATAAATGCTTCAAATCAAAATACTCGCATCTATAGCTGCTTATTAAACTAAAAATAGTTCATTGTAGATAACAATTATGATGAAGTTAATAATGAAGACTTTCATTAGTTTAAAAAATTTTAAATGTTTTTGAGGCTATCAGTAACAGTATAGGTTTAATTTAAGCTGATTCTGGATTCAGAGTCCAGAGTGCTCACCATTACACCATGGAACCTCACAATTAATTTAAGCTGATTCTAACATATTTTCTACTACTGTGCTATAGTCAGTATTTTCACAGTATATTTTTTGTTCAGAAAGATACCCATACACACCCACACACACATACATGGAAAGGGGACAAGGAAAGAGAGAGAGAGAGAATTTTACCTCTACCACTTCTCTGTAAACATATATCATTTAGATTGAATGGAAAGAAAAAATTTAATTCTAAAAAATACATGTTTGTTTTCCCCAAGATTGTTTTGATATTTTGAGGCAAGTGTTGTTTATATTCCTGGGAATTCTGTTCCTAAATTAATACATTAATAAGTTCTGCAAGCACTCAAGAATTCCTGGAAGAACTATCTACCTTCTCTTCATTTATGATGCAGAACTATTGGGAATAGTTCTGGCTCATTTAGGTAGACAGTGGAAAATGCTTCTACTTCACCAAATATGAGACATATTCTAATCCATTCATATGGCATTTTCTTCGAGTATATTAAGGGATCCACACCTACTCGATGCACCAGGCTTTGTGAGTACACATAATCTGTGTTCCCAGAGAGCAAGTGGATGCTTAATGAGTATGGGAATGGGGAGATCAATTATCTGTCCCATTTCTCTACTTCCTGATTTGGTGTTTAAAAGAATATATATCTATCAGCATTTCAACCCATTTTAAGTTAGTGTCAGAATCATAATAGAAAGGACATTTTGCTGAAAGCTCAATTTTGGAACAAAGTGTACTTGGAGCTTAGGTCATTGAGATATGGTTATGAGTTAGTCGTAAAACTCTCCATCATTTTCCATTACCTAGAAATTGATTGTTCAGCCAGAAGAATTTAAAATCCCCCTTATCTCCTCCACAAGTTCCCTGACACAATCTCTGTAAGCACTTGGAACTTTACTTCCTAGCCTTAAACCCAGTTTAAGTATCATTTCCTCCAGCCCATAAATCCTTAAGTTCCAATTCTAAGTAATTCTGTCTTTAATTATTAAATGCCTAGTACTGTTGATATTTTATGGACACACATATTGTTTTCATAATGGGATTATGAGTTCTATGAAATTAGAGACTTTCTCTTATGTTATGTTGCCTTTTTGTTTTAACCTCCCATTACCTATAGTATAAAAGTACATGTTCAACAAGATCTTTTACAATCAAAATCAATAAACTTCTTTCCTCATCTCAATAACTGTTTACATTTATATAGTACTTTCTTTTTTATTCCACACAATGACTTTACTTCTTCCTAATACGTTACTTGAAGGTATATTTTACATGTGAAATGTGGGGAAACATGCTGGGGGAAGACTGTGTGAGTTTATTGTGAATAAAGCAAAAATCATAGGATGGAGAGCTGGAGCCGAACTTCAGGTAGATCTGAACCCTAATGGGGATTCAGAAGCTGATAAAATATTATACCGTCTATTTTTAAAACCGATGTTAGTTACCCTTTATTGCTGAGGAGTTAAATCAGCTGAATATAAGCAAATTATTTGATAAAGTCCAGCTGAGAAGATTACTCTCATGTTGAGTCAATTTTGATTAAAGGCTACGACAAC
This sequence comes from Homo sapiens, assembly GCF_000001405.40. Classification (NCBI taxonomy): domain Eukaryota; kingdom Metazoa; phylum Chordata; class Mammalia; order Primates; family Hominidae; genus Homo; species Homo sapiens. The sequence goes on along the minus strand of NC_000003.12, from coordinate 110,638,685 downwards.
TATTAATGAAAAATTATCATGTTCACCTGCATTGACACAACTCTATTATTTAATTTAAATTCGAATCATGCTCAATGACTTTTGCTTTTTAGTCAGAACAACTGCAGCATTCCTGCCGCTCAGAATACCTTAATGGCCTTAGTAGCTGAGGTCCTCACAGCACTGGCAAGAGCAACATGGCATTGGAATGGGAGGACTGAAGTAAGTTTCTTCCACAAAAGGTAACATTATATGCAAGGTATTTAATTAGTTGTGACCTTGAATGGGTCACTTCCTTTTCTGAGTCTCAGTTTAAACATTTAGTTGGTAGTCTCACACATTTTTGGGCATAAAACACATTTTCCTCATCTTATATCCATAACTACCCAGTGAAGCAGTTCTCATGTCACAGATGGGAAAAATGATAATTAAATTAAATTAATTTGGTGACTAGTGGAGGTAGCACAGCTATTAAGTGGTGGGGTGAAAAGCCCAATTCTGAGCTCCTGCCTTCAAATACCCTCCCTTTTCTTCCACCACAAACTACTTCTCTATCTAGCGGATAACACAGTGGATTACACATTATCTTTCTGAAAACCTCCATCAAAATGCAAATCCAAATATCTCAGCTATCCAGTTTAAAATGACTTAGCGGGAGGGAGGGGCCAGGATGGCCGAATAGGAACAGCTCCGGTCTACAGCTCCCAGCGTGAGCGACGCAGAAGATGGGTGATTTCTGCATTTCCATCTGAGGTACTGGGTTCATCTCACTAGGGAGTGCCAGACAGTGGGTGCAGGACAGTGGGTGCGCACAACATGCACGAGCCTAAGCAGGGCAAGGCATTGCCTCACTCGGGAAGCACAAGGGGTCAGGGAGTTTCCTTTCCTAGTCAAAGAAAGGGGTGACAGACAGCACCTGGAAAATCGGGTCACTCCCACCCAAATACTGCACTTTTCCGACGGGCTTAAAAAACAGCGCACCAGGAGATTATATCCTGCACATGGCTGGGAGGATCCTATGCCCATGGAGTCTCGCTGATTGCTAGCACAGCAGTCTGAGAGCAAACTGCAAGGTGGCAGCAAGGCTGGGGGAGGGGTGCCCGCCATTGCCCAGGCTTGCTTAGGTAAACAAAGCAGCCAGGAAGCTCTAACTGGGTGGAGCCCACTACAGCTCAAGGAGGCCTGCCTGCCTCTGTAGGCTCCACCTCTGGGGGCAGGGCACAGACAAACAAAAAGACAGCAGGAACCTCTGCAGACTTAAATGTCCCTGTCTGACAGCTTTGAAGAGAGCAGTGGTTCTCCCAGCATGCAGCTGGAGATCTGAGAACGGGCAGACTGCCTCCTCAAGTGGCTCCCTGACCCCTGACCCCCGAGCAGCCTAACTGGGAGGCATCCCCCAGCAGGGGCAGACTGACACTTCACACGGCCGGGTACTCCAACAGACCTGCAGCTGAGGGTCCTGTCTGTTAGAAGGAAAACTAACAAACAGAAAGGACATCCACACCAAAAACCCATCTGTACATCACCATCATCAAAGACCAAAAGTAGATAAAACCACAAAGATGGGGGGAAAACAGAGCAGAAAAACTGGAAACTCTAAAAAGCAGAGCACCACTCCTCCTCCAAAGGAACGCAGTTCCTCACCAGCAGTGGAACAAAGCTGGACGGAGAATGACTTTGACGAGCTGAGAGAAGAAGGCTTCAGATGATCAAATTACTCTGAGCTACGGGAGGACATTCAAACCAAAGGCAAAGAAGTTGAAAACTTGGAAAAAAATTTAGAAGAATGTATAACTAGAATAACCAATACAGAGAAGTGCTTAAAGGAGCTGATGGAGCTGAAAACCAAGGCTCGAGAACTACGTGAAGAATGCAGAAGCCTCAGGAGCCGATGCAATCAACTGGAAGAAAGGGTATTAGCGATGGAAGATGAAGTGAATGAAATGAAGCGAGAAGGGAAGTTTAGAGAAAAAAGAATAAAAAGAAATGAGCAAAGCCTCCAAGAGATAGGGGACTATGTGAAAAGACCAAATCTACGTCTGATTGGTGTACCTGAAAGTGACGGGGAGAATGGAACCAAGTTGGAAAACACTCTGCAGGATATTATCCAGGAGAACTTCCCCAATCTAGCAAGGCAGGCCAACATTCAGATTCAGGAAATACAGAGAACACCACAAAGATAGTCCTCGAGAAGAGCAACTCCAAGACACATAATTGTCAGATTCACCAAAGTTGAAATGAAGGAAAAAATGTTAAGGGCAGCCAGAGAGAAAGGTCGGGTTACCCTCAAAGGGAAGCCCATCAGACTAACAGCAGATCTCTCGGCAGAAACTCTACAAGCCAGAAGAGAGTGTGGGCCAATATTCAACATTCTTAAAGAAAAGAATTTTCAACCCAGAATTTCATATCCAGCCAAACTAAGCTTCATAAGTGAAGGAGAAATAAAATACTTTACAGACAAGCAAATGCTGAGAGATTTTGTCACCACCAGGCCTGCCCTAAAAGAGCTCCTGAAGGAAGCGCTAAACATGGAAAGGAACAACCGGTACCAGCCGCTGCAAAATCATGCCAAAATGTAAAGACCATCGAGACTAGGAAGAAACTGCATCAACTAACGAGCAAAATCATCAGCTAACATCATAATGACAGGATCAAATTCACACATAACAATATTAACTTTAAATGTAAATGGATTAATGCTCCAATTAAAAGACACAGACTGGCAAATTGGATAAAGAGTCAAGACCCATCAGTGTGCTGTATTCAGGAAACCCATCTCACATGCAGAGACACACATAGGCTCAAAATAAAAGGATGGAGGAAGATCTACCAAGCAAATGGAAAACAAAAAAAGGCAGGGGTTGCAATCCTAGTCTCTGATAAAACAGACTTTAAACCAACAAAGATCAAAAGAGACAAAGAAGGCCATTACATAATGGTAAAGGGATCAATTCAACAAGAAGAGCTAACTATCCTAAATATATATGCACCCAATACAGGAGCACCCAGATTCATAAAGCAAGTCCTGAGTGACCTACAAAGAGACTTAGACTCCCACACATTAAAAAGGGAGACTTTAACACCCCACTGTCAACATTAGACAGATCAACGAGACAGAAAGTCAGCAAGGATACCCAGGAATTGAACTCAGCTCTGCACCAAGTGGACCTAATAGACATCTACAGAACTCTCCACCCCAAATCAACAGAATATACATTTTTTTCAGCACCACACCACACCTATTCCAAAATTGACCACATAGTTGGAAGTAAGCTCTCCTCAGCAAATGTAAAAGAACAGAAATTATAACAAACTATCTCTCAGACCACAGTGCAATCAAACTAGAACTCAGGATTAAGAATCTCACTCAAAACCGCTCAACTACATGGAAACTGAACAACCTGCTCCTGAATGACTACTGGGTACATAACGAAATGAAGGCAGAAATAAAGATGTTCTTTGAAACCAACGAGAACAAAGACACAACATACCAGAATCTCTGGGACGCATTCAAAGCAGTGTGTAGAGGGAAATTTATAGCACTAAATGCCCACAAGAGAAAGCAGGAAAGATCCAAAATTGACACCCTAACATCACAAGTAAAAGAACTAGAAAAGCAAGAGCAAACACATTCAAAAGCTAGCAGAAGGCAAGAAATAACTAAAATCAGAGCAGAACTGAAGGAAATAGAGACACAAAAAACCCTTCAAAAAATTAATGAATCCAGGAGCTAGTTTTTTGAAAGGATCAACAAAATTGATAAACTGCTAGCAAGACTAATAAAGAAAAAAGAGAGAAGAATCAAATAGACACAATAAAAAATGATAAAGGGGATATCACCACCGATCCCACAGAAATACAAACTACCATCAGAGAATACTACAAACACCTCTACGCAAATAAACTAGAAAATCTAGAAGAAATGGATAAATTCCTCGACATATACACTCTCCCAAAACTAAACCAGGAAGAAGTTGAATCTCTGAATAGACCAATAACAGGCTCTGAAATTGTGGCAATAATCAATAGCTTACCAACCAAACAGAGTCCAGGACCAGATGGATTCACAGCCAAATTCTACCAGAGGTACAAGGAGGAACTGGTACCATTCCTTCTGAAACTATTCCAATCAATAGAAAAAGAGGGAATCCTCCCTAACTCATTTTATGAGGCCAGCGTCATCCTGATACCAAAGCCGGGCAGAGACACAACCAAAGAAGAGAATTTTAGACCAATTTCCTTGATGAACATTGATGCAAAAATCCTCAATAAAATACTGGCAAACCGAATCCAGCAGCACATCAAAAAGCTTATCCACCATGATCAAGTGGGCTTCATCCCTGGGATGCAAGGCTGGTTCAATACATGCAAATCAATAAATGTAATCCAGCATATAAACAGAACCAAAGACAAAAACTACATGATTATCTCAATAGATGCAGAAAAGGCCTTTGACAAAATTCAACAACCTTCATGCTAAAAACTCTCAATAAATTAGGTATTGATGGGATGTATTTCAAAATAATAAGAGCTATCTATGACAAACCCACAGCCAATATCATACTGAATGGGCAAAAACTGGAAGCATTCCCTTTGAAAACTGGCACAAGACAGGGATGCCCTCTCTCACCACTCCTATTCAACATAGTGTTGGAAGTTCTGGCCAGGGCAATTAGGCAGGAGAAGGAAATAAAGGGTATTCAATTAGGAAAAGAGGAAGTCAAATTGTCCCTGTTTGCAGACAACATGATTGTATATCTAGAAAACCCCATTGTCTCAGCCCAAAATCTCCTTAAGCTCATAAGCAACTTCAGCAAAGTCTCAGGATACAGAATCAATGTACAAAAATCACAAGCATTCTTATACACCAACAACACACAAACAGAGAGCCAAATCATGAGTGAACTCCCATTCACAATTGCTTCAAAGAGAATAAAATACCTAGGAATCCAACTTACAAGGGATGCGAAGGACCTCTTCAAGGAGAACTACAAACCACTGCTCAAGGAAATAAAAGAGGATACAAACAAATGGAAGAACATTCCATGCTCATGGGTAGGAAGAATCAATATCGTGAAAATGGCCATACTGCCCAAGGTAATTTAGAGATTCAATGCCATCCCCATCAAGCTACCAATGACTTTCTTCACAGAATTGGAAAAAACTACTTTAAAGTTCATATGGAACCAAAAAAGAGCCCACATCGCCAAGTCAATCGTAAGCCAAAAGAACAAAGCTGGAGGCATCACACTACCTGACTTCAAACTATACTACAAGGCTACAGTAACCAAAACAGCATGGTACTGGTACCAATATGAAAGAAGATATACAGAGATATAGATCAATGGAACAGAACAGAGCCCTCAGAAATAACGCCACATATCTACAACTATCTGATCTTTGACAAACCTGAGAAAAACAAGCAATGGGGAAAGGATTCCCTATTTAATAAATGGTGCTGGGAAAACTGGCTAGCCATATGTAGAAAGCTGAAACTGGATCCCTTCCTTAAACCTTATACAAAAATCAATTCAAGATGGATTAAAGACTTAAACGTTAGACCTAAAACCATAAAAACCCTAGAAGAAAACCTAGGCATTACCATTCAGGACATAGGCATGGGCAAGGACTTCATGTCTAAAACACCAAAAGCAATGGCAACAAAAGCCAAAATTGACAAATTAATTAAACTAAAGAGCTTCTGCACAGCAAAAGAAACTACCATCAGAGTGAACAGGCAACCTACAAAATGGGAGAAAATTTTTGCAACATACTCATCTGACAAAGGGCTAATATCCAGAATCGACAATGAACTCAAACAAATTTACAAGAAAAAAACAAACAACCCCATCAAAAAGTGGGCGAAGGACATGAACAGACACTTCTCAAAAGAAGACATTTAAGCAGCCAAAAGACACATGAAAAAATGCTCACCATCACTGGCCATCAGAGAAATACAAATCAAAACCACAATGAGATACCATCTCACACCAGTTAGAATGGCGATCATTAAAAAGTCAGGAAACAACAGGTGCTGGAGAGGATGTGGAGAAATAGGAACACTTTTGCACTGTTGATTGGACTGTAAACTAGTTCAACCATTGTGGAAGTCAGTGTGGCAATTCCTCAGGGATCTAGAACTAGAAATACCATTTGACCCAGCCATCCCATTACTGGGTATATACCCAAAGGACTATAAATCATGCTGCTATAAAGACACATGCACACGTATGTTTATTGCGGCATTGTTCACAATAGCAAAGACTTGGAACCAACCCAAATGTCCAACAATGATAGACTGGATTAAGAAAATGTGGCACATATACACCATGGAATACTATGCAGCCATAAAAAATGATGAGTTCATGTCCTTTGTAGGGACATGGATGAAATTGGAAATCATCATTCTCAGTAAACTATCACAAGAACTAAAAACCAAACACCACATATTCTCACTCATAGGTGGGAATTGAACAATGAGAACACATGGACACAAGAAGGGGAACATCACACTCTGGGGACTGTTGTGCGGTGGGGGGAGGGCGGAGGGATAGCACTGGGAGATGTACCTAATGCTAGATGACGAGTTAGTGGGTGCAGCGCACCAGCATGGCACATGTATACATATGTAACTAACCTGCACATTGTGCACATGTACCCTAAAACTTAAAGTATAATAATAATAAATAAAGAAAAATAAAATAAAATAAAATAAAATGACTTAGCTTACTACTGTCATTAATTTGTCAATGTAGGATTTGTCCTGCTTTTCTATACACCAGAGCTAAAGAAGATGTGTGTGTGTGTGTGTGTGTGTGTGTGTGTATGTGTGTGTGTGTGTTTAAAGACAACACAGGCAAATTGATAATACCAACACCCCTGAAGGGTGAGAATTTAGAATTTCTCGTTCTTCATATTTATTTCACTTTTTAGGTTCACTGTCAAGTCAGTACAAACACATACCTGAAAACACAACTTACTGGTTGTGACATTATCACATATGATTTGATAAGAAAACAAAGGCAGATCTGATGGTTTCTGTTAGCTGCCAGCCCTGTGACATAAGCTGCAGATGTGGATGAATCTGGGCATTTGAGCTGGATCAGCTACAAAAATGCATTCTTTGCAGTGCCCGTGAACTTCAAAGGGTACGTCAAGCAACCTATCAATAACCCAAAATTTAAGATGTTAGTCATGTACTAAATATTTTAATGGAAATGATTGCAAACAAATACACTTAAAAGTCTCCATAGACAAGGAAACAATTTAGTGAAATTTGGCTTGTTTTAGCAGAGAAGCTTCTTGACATATAACATACATACATCATGGCAATGTATATCAATGTCAAAAACCACTCTATTTTAGTAAGCACGTATAGCTTGTGTCTCAGGAATTTTAGAATACTCTCAGCAAATATGTTATATACTTGACACAAATGCTTTCCAAATGCACTTGTTAGAATTCTGAAAAGTACAAAGAACATTCAGTAATTATCATAAAGAGATCACTTGCATAACCACCACTCAGGTCAAGAAAAAAAACATGGCCAGGGCACAGAAGCCTCCTTTATGTTCCCTCAGATTATGACCCTCTCTCCCTCTCTTCTTTTGAAAGATAACCATTATCCTGAATTCTAACAGCAGTTTAGTTTTGCCTGTGTTGGAGTCATACAGCATGCATTATTACATTATTTTGTGTTCTATTTCTTTTGCTCAACATTACTTATGAAATTCATCCTTGTTGCTGAATGTGGTTGCACTTTATTTATTTTTATTTCTTTAATGGCATTTTTTTCCGTAGGATCATACCACAATTTGTGTATCTATATTACCGTTCATCAATATTGGGGATGTTTAGACTTTTGTAAGCTGTTACATAAAATGCTTTTGGACTACTATTTCCAACCAATATGGAGTAACAGGATGGGATAAATTATTCCATCTGGGATAGTAACAACAACAAAACTGGACAAGATATGTAACAACTGTTTTCAAAACACAAGATGTTAGACAATGAAGGGCAGTGATACCTATGAGATGAGAAATAAATGAGGTGGCCAAACAATTGATTACTAAGTGAGTTTGCAGGCCATGGTGCGGGAACGGAGATCCCAGATGGACTCCCTTGGTTTTCAAGAAACAAAACCAGAGAGGGACAGCTACATAGGGAGAATTTTATGAATCTTCAGAGTCTCTGTGGGTATTCAGGAGAACACATCAGCATGTGCATGTGAAGATACTATCTGAGGTAGATGGAAAAACTAACTGAGAATATTAGAGAAAATACCATGCCCTCACACAGGGCTGGGAACAGCACCTGATCCCTCCAGTCCAACTGGGAAATCTGATTTTTCACAGGGCATTGGGTGGAGTACTTTGCAAAGTCTTGCTTCAGTAGTATACTCAGCCCTAGATTAAACATTGCTCTGGTCTCATCTAATGAATCTTAAAAGTAGGACCAGCCACATAATTTGAGGGACCCAATGCCAAATGGAAATGCCAGACCCCTTATTCAAAATTAAGACTTCCACGTTGGCAAGAGTAGAGTACCAAATCAAGCCTACAGCCTCTCTAACCTTTGGTCCTGTGTGACTGACCAGGTCATATACCTGTGAAGCAGTCCTGCTTAAAAGCAAAACTAGAAAGGATCAAACTGTTTCTAAGTGACTTAACTTTGCCTCTCAAACCTACTAATGTCTGTTTTTTTTCTTCTTTCATATTGTTTTGATTCTTCATATTCATGATCATTTTTTATTGACTGCTAGTTATTTTTTATTTATTTATTTATTTATTTTTGAGACGGAGTCTCGCTCTGTTGCCCAGGCTGGAGTGCAGTGGCACGATCTTGGCTCATTGTAAGCTCCGCCTCCCAGGTTCATGCCATTCTCCTGCCTCAGTCTCCCGAGTAGCTGTGACTACAGGCGCCCGCCACTTCGCCTGGCTAATTTTTTGTATTTTTAGTAGAGACAGGGTTTCACCGTGTTAGCCAGGATGGTCTTGATCTCCTGACCTTGTGATCCACCCGCCTCGGCCTCCCAAAGTGCTGGGATTACAGGCATGAGCCACCGTGCCCGGCTGACTGCTAGTTATTTTATGTGAAAAAATTAAAAAATATTTTCCAGCTTAGCATTATGGTATCTTTCTCTAGAGAGGATATGTGGTTTTGTCAGAGGTGTGTGAACCAGAGCAACTCCATCTTAAATAGGAGCTGGGTAAAATAAGGTTGAAACCTACTGGGCTGCATTCCCAGATGGTTAAGACATTCTAAGTCACAGGATGAGTTAGCAGGTCAGCACAAAATACAGGTCATAAAGACCTTGCTGATAAAACAGGTTGCAGTAAAGGGGCGGGCCAAAACCCACCAAAACCAAAATGGTGACGAGAGTGACCTCTGGTTGTCCTCACTGCTACACTCCCACCAACACCATGACAGTTTACAAATGCCACGGCAATGTCAGAAGTTACCTTATATGGTCTAAAACGGGGAGGCATGAATAATCCACCCCTTGTTTAGCATATCATCAAGAAATAACCATAAAAGTGGGCAACCAGCAGCCTTCAGCTCTGCTCTTTGGGTCTATGGAGTAGCCATTCTTTTATTCCTTTACTTCCTTAATAAACTTGCTTTCACTTTGCACTGTGGACTCACTGTAAATTCTTTCTTGTGTGAGATCCAAGAACCCTCTCCTGGGGTCTGGATCAGGACCCCTTTCCTGTAACAGTTTTTTTTTTTTTTTCTGGTAATTTGGGGCAATCGAAAGCTAAGATTTTCTTAATTTAGTTTTGTGCATTGAGTTAATTCAAAGTTAGGCTTCAGTACATAAATCACCTGCTTCCTGTTCAACGTCTCTGTTAGTGTATGGTCCTTCAGTGTTCTGACCTATAGCTTGCAGTTTTGAAGAGGCCTCAACTTTGGAGGACCCTGGAGTCCAATTTTTTTTTTTTTAATTTTTAGTTTTGTCCCTTTGGCCTGTTGGAAGTTCTGATCAGCTTCTTATACTTTTAGCTACCTCTTCCTGAGTTAGCAATTGCCCCTAGGGAAAACTTAGCTCCTCACAACTACCCAAGGATAATTCTTTCGGTTAGATTTAAGCAATAGCTTCACTTTTAGGAGAAATGGCAAAATAAATATTATGGTTTTCTATGGGTTAGATACATTTACAAATCTTAATATTTTTAACAATCCTGTAGCTAGTTAGTAGTGTAACTGCCTAATGGGTTCTTCCTGCCCACTGCACAGACAAAATCAATTCACTGAGACCATAGCATTGCAATAAAGAGTTTAATCAGTCCCTCAAATCAAACACTCACATCAATCTCTCTGAAAATTTGGAGGCTAGGGTTTTTTTCAGGATAGTTTGTTGAGCCAGGGAGTCTGCTTCTATATGGGGCCACAGGACCAGTTGGTGGGTCCAGGTGGAGCCACTGATTGTCAGAAATGCAAAAACCTGAAAAAACATTTCAAGAGACCAGTCTTAGGTTCTACAATACGTATGTTATCTGCAGGAGTAATTGGAGAAGTTGCAAACCTTGTGACCTCCAGAATAATTGCTGGTAATCATTTATGTCTACACCTTGGCAGAATTTAGCCTTCTTATCCTCCTAACCTGGTGGTCTTTCATTAGCTTTACAAAGGTGTTTTAGTTTGGGAGAAGGGCTGTTATCGTTTAAACTATAAACTAAATGTCTCTCAATGTTAGCTTGGCCTTAGCCCAGGAATGATTAAGGACAGCTTGGAGGTTAAAGGCAAGATGGGGTTAGTTAGATCAGATCCCTTTTATTGCCATAATTTTCTCACTGTTAAAATTTTTGCAAAGGCAGTTGCAGTAATATCCTTATTTTACAGAGCTGGAATTCTTTTCTCAGATTGCTTAAATAAGGTGCCCCATATCACATAACTAGTAAGTGGCAGAGTCACAATAGAATCTGGTCTTGCTGACTTCAAGCCTATTTTCTTTAAACAAACTTAACTCTCTCATTTAATGTAACAGGGAGTGTAGATTGTACAAGTAATATTTATAATGTTATAGATGCCTCTAGAACTAAATTTAAAAACCATACTTAAATAAGTAAAATAACTAAGAATATAAAATGTGAAGGGAGTCCGCTTTGGTTAGCTTGAGCTGCTATAACAGAATACCATAGATTGTGTGGCTTAAACAACAAACATTTATTTCTCATACTTTGGAGGCTAGGAAATCCAAGATCAGAGTGCTAGCAGATCTCATGTTTAGTGAGGACCCTCTTCCTGATTTGCAGATGGTTATCTTTTCTTTGTATTCTCACATGGGAGAGAGTACAGAGAGCTAGCTCTCTGGCCTCTTCTCTTAAGGGCATTAATCCCATTCATTAGAGTCCCACCCTCATGACCTAGTTACCTCCCAAAAGCCCTACCTGCTAATACCATCACCTTGGGAGTTAGATTTCAACATATGAATTTTAGGGGGACCCAAACATTCAGTTAATAGTCGGGTATTCTATAATTACACCCTACTTAAGGACTGATTTTAAAATTTATTTTAGAAATGAGATGAGAAGTCTTCTTCTGATCAAAGATTTTTCTCTATGGAAGGGTTTGTGGTCTCATGGGCTTCAAGGAATGAAGCCATGGACCGCAGCAGCAGGTGTTAGAGCTCGATTAGAGAAACGCGCGGACCCAAAGAGTGCTGCAGCAAGATTTATTAAAGCAAAAGTGAAAGTAAAGCTTCCATGCAGTGGAAGGGGACCCAGAAGGGTTGCTGTTTCTGGCTTGGGTGTCTTATGCTTATATCCCCTTATGACTCCTCCCCTTTTCCTTTTTCTGTCCTATAAGATTAGCTTATTTTCTATCTGCTTGTGGGTTGGAGGGCCTGATTGGTTAAAACCATCAGGCTGCAGCTATAGCTTAAACTCCCTATATGATTGGTTGAAGTTTCAATCCCTTAGCTTGCAGCTATGACTCATTTTGGCTTAGAGGAAAGTCCCCTTGGTGAAGTCCCTACTGACCCAGGAAGTCCAGCCAACTTAGCCACTTAGTACCTCAGTAGGTTGGTTGGATAATGGAGATTTTTGCCCACATATGGAGGTAGTTTGAAGACTCACTGGAAGAATTAGGTATTTATAAATACCTTCCCAATGATATGTTGCAATTTTGGAGTATCCATTTGTCTTAGTCGGCTATGGCTGCTGTAACAAAATTTCATAGACTGAGTGGCTTAAACAGCAGACATTTATTTCTCACAGTTCTGGAATTATGGGAAGTCTGAAATTTGGGTAAGAGCACGGTTGGGCCTGATGAAGGCCCTCTTTCTGGCTTGTAGATGACTGCTTTCTTGCTGTATCCTCACATGGCAGAGTCAGGGGGACCGGGGAGGCAGGGAGAACTCTCTTGTGTCTCTTCTTATAAGGGCACTGAACACATTCATGAAGGCTGCACACTGATGACCTCATCTAAACCCCATCACATTGAGGACTAGGGCTTCAACATGTGAATATGAGAAGGCATGATTCAGTCCATAGCATTTATTATAGAGTCAGATGTGTGTGTGTGCACATGTGTGTGTATGTCTGGAGATTACAAAATAGATATCTTGAAAGTATTACAGTCCATCTTTTCATACTTATGCTCTGGGTTGGGTTCATCTGCTAGCTAGAAATAGTAATAACCTGGTGAGGCATTACACCTTTATACTCTATTTGAACAGCTCTGATGGCCTTACTAAGTCTCTGAGAGTTGTGGTTTTATCGTAAACTGTGACATGAAATCCAATAGGATCTTTTCATAAAAATTTGGCAGTTCAATATTTATCATTTGTAAATGTAAACATGTATAGCTAAGTCTTTTCCCTCTTACTCTAAAGCCTGTATTAGCATGTTGTCATATCCAAAAAAATACAAATCCAATTTTAAAAGCACTGAAGGTGTTTTGGTTTACAAATGGATTTACACCACCCATTACACAGAAAACAACCCTAAGATTTTCCCTTAAGAATCTCCTTCTCTCCAAATTCCACTCCATTTAACAGCTATCTAAAGCTCAGTTTTTCTTATCTCTCCCTTCCAGTCCCCCTCCAGCTGCTCAGTCTTTGGTATGGAAAGCTGAGGTCACGATTTGATAACCTGCAGTCTGAATATAGCCCTCGGGCATCTGGAGTTTTGCCTTCACATAGTGTTGAAAAATTTGAATTGCTTTCCAACCTTTGAAAGTCAGGATATTTCATGTTAAAATCCAGATATCTCAGCATTTCTTGACAAACCAGAAGATCTGGTAACCCTAGACTTTCTTCTCATAAGGCACTTTTTACTCTGGTTCAAAGCAGTTCACAGTTCCCACTAAGCCCCTCCTTAGGCATTCAAATTGGCAGCCTTTGCAGCAAAGCTGCCAGGCTGTATTTTGCTTCTCCTACCTGCGTTCACATCAGTGACCTCACTCAAGCATAACTGATATACTCATGGCCTTCTATTCCTTGTAACGCTGGAAGCAGGGGAGTCTTAATGGAAGAGTGTAAGTACTGATAAATTAAATGTTTCTATCACAGGAGAACCAACAAAAAGTGGAAGTGTCTGCCCCTTAACAATCTACATGATAGTGGAGGTGTTAGGTGCTCAGGCCTCTGCTCTCACTCAATGCAGGTCCATCTATTAGTATTACTTAGGCTATTAGGGAAAGAGCTTCTTGGAGGAGAGAGGGGCACGGTTGATGCTTGGCTGTTTTCTACCTAAATCTGTTAAATACCCTTCCTCACAATGGGACAGTCTATCTCACTCCTGTTTTACTTCTTCATGCCCTTACATGTAGGTAGAATCAAGACCTCAGTTTCCTAGAGGGTCTCTATATGTGAGAATTTTCATATTTTCTCACCACACGTAATATAATGATTTTCTCTAAAGTTCAGCATATAATTTTTTCTTCACAGGCTAGCATCTGAGGCATTTTGCCAAAGGCAGTTTTGAGTGATGACGTTTCCTTAAACAACTTAAGCTGAAACCCAACAATTGATGCCAAGGGAAAGAGAAGTAAACAGCTGTAGCTACTTACCTGGGTCCCCCATAAGAGAAGCAGGGGAGATGTGGATGTTACAGGTTAGCAAAGAGGGGATAAGAAGATAGTTAGATAGCATAATACAAAATATGCACGCATATAATTTCAAGCATTGCAGTCTCAGAGATAATAGCAAAATCAAAATTTTTTAAGGTTTAAAATCTTGTGGATGTTTATTTATCAAGCTTCTGGAAGTTAATCACTTTTGGATTCAGGCTCTGTTTCATTTTACAAAATTTGATCTCCTAGGCAACTATGTTATTACGTTCACAATTCCCCACATGCCTAATTTTAAGGTATTTACAAATACAAAATCATCACTTTAGGATAGGTATTTAGATTTTGCAATTTAAATTTATATCAGATTTATTATAACTAAGTGCTTCTCCCTGAATCATTAATGTTCTTGCTCTATGATCTAAGATATCTTTAATTTTTAAAATTTTAAAAAATTATAGTAAAGCCTATAACATAAAATTTACCATTTTAGATATTTTAAAGTGTATAATTCACTAGTGTTAAGTACATTCACAGTGTTATACAACCAATCTCCAGTATTATTTTTAGGACAATTCTTTACTCCACCAAGGGTTTAACGTCTTTAAACCATATCATTTTAAATATTAATTATTTTTTAATGTAATAATAATAATGGCCTTCAAAAGGGTTGATGAATTCTTTAATACCTGCCTCATGATTTACTGTGCTTTTTGAAATATGAAGAAATATTTTGTTGTAAGTTACTGTCTAAAAAAAAACTTCAGACAGATTAAAGTTAGCAGAGTTTATTTGAGCAAGGATCCATTCATGAACTGGGCAGCTTTAGGACCAGAAGAGATTCAGAGAGCTCTGCCTCATCAGTTTTGGCAGTGGACTTTCATAAGGTGATTATAGAAGCAAAGTGAAGAAATTACTGATTGGCAACAGCTCAGCATTTGGCTTATTTGGGCATTATCTGATGGAAAGTCCCTAGTTAGAGGTTAGCTGGAGGTTTCTGATTGGTTAAGTCTAGTTTTGTTTTACTGGTTACCTCGGACTTCAGTTTGTTTACACAGAAAATCAAAGTGGTAGAGCTCTCTCAACCTAATGTCTTCTCTATTAACTTTGTTAACTGTATGTAGAAACCTAATATTAGTGAACTATCCTTTTAGCATGATTGATTCCAAATGTAAAAAGTGATAAGAGAACAAAAATCACCAGATACTTTAAAAACCAATATTTTAGAGTAATCTTTCCATTGATATTTGTCCACTCTCCTTCAGATGAAACCATCATTCTCTTTACATGTGTGACTCCCACAGAATATTGAAAAAACTTGAAATGTTGTTTGGAAAACTAGGCATTTTCTAACAATTGGGTCTTTCTTTTATTTTCTTTTCCAGTTACTTTAAATTTCTTATATTTTTGTCATTCTTTTAATCTATTTCATTCCAAATTTATTTTCCTAGTCATTTATTTTTCTTTTCTTTCTTTCTGATTTTCATATTTAGTGATAGTGCTTCTTCCTTTCCTTTCTTTTTGTTTCTTTTCATTCCACTCTCTTCCTTTGCTTTTTCTTCCTCCTCATTCATTCTTCCACTCATTTATTTATATTATTTACTTATTCATTTTACTTATTTTATGTGTGTATAAAAAAACAACTGCCATGTATGCTGTCTCACTAATTTTCATAAAATGTGACAGGATGCAACCTTGTAGATAGGAAAGGAATTGTGTATAACCAAAGTGTTCCCACCTGCATGGTGTCCACCCAAGAGGCAGCAGGATCCCGTGTCTTCCTACCTCTTTTCCTTTCAAGAGTCACCTTTCTCAGGTGTACAGTGGTCCACAAAGCGACCAGCTCCTCTGTCCCTCCAGGCTCCTGTGGCTGTTTTCTGTTTTCTTTCATATATTGCTCCAAGGATGAACCCAGGTTCTATAGAGCACAATCAATATAAATACTGGACAGCTTAGACTTTTAGAGAAGATTGAGGATATTGGGGTAATTACTGCAAAGCCAGAAAAAAACTTCACCTAAAGTTTAGATATACATTTTTTTCTGGAACTGTATCAGCCTTTCTCCTTCAGCAGGAATATTTTTTATCATAAGCAATGTTTCTCCTAAAGCCTTGGGTTTCCCTGTTGATATTCAGGCTTTATTACATATGGTTGTATGTCAAGACTCTTCCTTCCTTCCTTCCTTCCTTCCTTCTTTCCTTCCTTCCTTCCTTCCTTGCTTCCTTCTTTTCTATCTCTCTTTCTTTCCTTTTTGACAGAATCTCACTCTGTTGCCTAGGCTGGAGTGCAGTGGCACAATCTTGGCTCACTGCAACCTCTGTCTCCCAGGTTCAAGAGATTCTCCTGCCTCAGCCTCCAGAGTAGCTGGGATTACAGGTGCTTGCCACCACACCTGGCTAATTTTTGTATTTTTAGTAGAGACAGGGTTTCACCATGTTGTCCAGGCTGGTCTTGAACTCCTGATCTCAAGTGATCCACCTGCCTTGGCCTCCCAAAGTGCTGGGATTACAAGTGTGAGCCACTGCACCTGGCCTGTATGTCAATATTTCTTTAAAGTCCCAAATTTCCCTAAGCCCATTTGAATTCAGGGCATGTATTAGTCAACATAATAACACTTTCCTACTTTGAACCATAGGGAAACTATGTTCAGAATTTTCTGAGTAAATTTAAACTATGTAATAGTTTAACTCAGCATGCATGACAGAAAAGTTCTGCTTCATTTATATAACTTGAATACATCAATGACATTTTCTGCTCTTCAAGAATGAAGCTGCTAGTTTTAATAATCAGAATAAAGTTGATTTTTAAAACTTCACCACGTGACAATGAATGTAGCTCTCTCAAAATATAACCCAGTTCTGTTTTTAGTATTCTAATATAGCTCAATTTTACTTTAAAAATATGTATAGTGACACAGATATCAAACATTATTATTTAAAACTCCAAAATGTACTATAATTCCATCACCCTAACAAAGCATTTTTATTTTTTCTTATTCCATATTCACAAGCAATTTGATGTAGTTGCCTTTAAAAGAAACCTATGATTGTATTCAACTTTTAAAATTATTTGATTGTAAATAATTGCACAGATGATGCAGCACATATAGTTAATTTAACAGGCATATAATATTTTGTTGAAAAGTATCATTGTTCATTTAGCCATTCCTTTATTGGACATGTAGGTCATTTCCAATGTTTTGCTATTTTAAATAATGCTGAGATAAATATCCTTATCCTGTCATTGAACAAATACTTATTGAGTACCTATTATGCCAGATATGATTCTAGGCAATAAAATATAGCAGCCAACAGAATAAATAGAAATTCTTGTTCTCATGGATCTTATAGCTGCTGGGAAAGAAACAAGCAGTAAATCAATTAAATAAGCAAATTATGTTGTATACTTCAAGATGATAAGTGCATTGGAGAAAAAGCAAGAAAGGGGTTGGGGAATGTAGAGAGTGTGTGATGTCATTTTAATAATATGGTCTGGAAGACCTTGATAGGAAGGTGACATTTGAGCAAAGGCTTCGAGGAGTGAAGGATACGTTCTGGGATATCTAGCCTGTGGCAAGAACATGCCCGGCATGATTGTAGTCCTAGGAAGATAGAAATTCTGTAGGAGTAGAATAGTAGGACATGAGATCAGACAGGTAACTGGGTCCAGATCTTATAAGGCATTGAAGAACTGTCTGTAAGGGCTCTGGGTTTCTTTCATGCTAGAAGAGATAGGGGGTTATTGGAGAGTTTTGATCAGAGGAATGATGTAGACTGACTTGTTAACATTGCTCTGATTGTTGTGTGGACCCTTGTGGGGTAAGAATGAAAACAGTGAGGAACCTGTTGCAATAATTCAGGTAGGAGATGGCAGTGGCTTGGACCATAAATGCAGATTTGCTATTTATGGAAAGTGGTCGCATATATTTTAAAAGTAGAGCTACCAGGATGTTTGAAATGCCACCATCAGTGTAAATATGTACTTTCTAAACATTTGGTGATTATGTATATATATTTTTTCTTTATTATTTTCTTTCTATATGTATTTTTTTAAATATGATTTAAAAAACTACATGATGTTGTAAAACTTATCAGCTAACCAAAACTACATAAAACAATATTGCAATTTTCATACTCCTTGAGCAAAATATTCACACCTTTGATATTATAATATTTTATTTAAAAGGATATTCCTAGGAGAGGAGAACCAGAGCCCCTGAGAAGCCTACACTAGTTATGGCAGAGGTTCTCCAGTTCCTTAATGCCGTTATGTCTGAGGCTGATGCTGTGGAGGGCTTAATCTCTGTGTTCAGAAGCTCATTATCTGCAATAACGCCCTTTGGGTAATCAACCTTGCCCTGCTGCTGAATCCTTTATCTTTTCATATCACTTGAAATTCCACACAATCTTAAAGCTATTATTCATTTACAGTATTCACACATGCCAAATTTCTTTCAGGAGTCAACACGCCCAGTTTGTGTATTAGTTTCGTTGGGCTACCATAACAAAGTACCACAAACCAGGTGACTTAACAGAAATTTATTCCTTCACAGTTTGGGAGGTTAAATGTCTGAAATCAAGGTGTCATTTACTTTCATGCTTTCTCTGAAGGCTCAGTAAAAGAATCTGTTGTATGCCTTTCTCTTAGCTTCTGGTGTTACTGGCAATCTTTGGAGCCCGTTGGCTTATAGACACATCACTCTAATCTCTTCCTCCATCATCACATGACATTCTCTCTGTGTGTTTTCACATCATACTAATTCTTGGTGTGTCTGTCTCTGATTCTCTTCTTATAAGAACACCAGTCATATTGGATTCAGACCCATTCTAATTCGTATGACCTCATGTTAACCTGATTATATCTGAAAAGACCCTATTTCTAAATAAGGTAACATTTCCAGTTACTGGGAGTTCAGCCTAGTTTTGGGGGGCAACGCCATTGAGCCTGTAAGAGTTGGTTTGAGAAAAGAAGTGGTTTCCAAAAGAATCAGTCTGAAAAAAAATGTTTTCAGCATTAATGTTGTGGGTAGAATCTAACCATAATTTGGGGTGAGATTAGTGATATCTGGAGAAGATAAAAATTCTCACTTTACTGCCTACCCATTTGTCAAGCCTCAGCTTAGCTCTGCCTTTCAATTGATGTCTATCTAGTGACTCTGAGGATCTCTCATACAATAATATTATTTATAACACATGTCATAGTCTTTAATATTCTTCTTACTGTCTCCTAATTGGTTCAAGTGTTTTGATTCTGCTTTCTCCAATAGAACTGCAGTCTTCTGAGGGCAGGCATCTTGGTATTATATTTTTCTGGAATTCTCCTAGAATTTCTATCAAAGTGTTAGAAACATGCAGGATTCTCATAAGCATTTATTGGTTTAAATTGAAATATTTAGGAGCCAAGGTTGATTGGATGGCCAGTAAGTTTGGCAGTGAGTTATTTTTTGGCCAGTTATCTGATCATCTTTCAGGTCACAATAGGTGTTCCTTCTTTTGGAAACTAGTCATCAAGACTAAGGGAAGTGTCCCTCTTGTGAGCTCCTATACCATTCTTACATTCTTAGCTTGTGCTTTTCAAAGTATTGATCATACTGTATCTTAATTTCCTGCTGACTTGTCTGTCACCCTTACCAACACCACGGCAGAGACTGTGCCTTATCACTATTGAATTCTTGGTGCCCAGAATAGTGGCTGGCCTGTAGTTGGCACTTAATACGTAATTGTGAAATTAGTTTAATGAATGACTAAACACCAGGCTGAATATTTTTCTCTCCTCTAACTTAATTTTCCCTATATGTAAAATAAGAGTGGAGAGATTGTGATGCTTTAATAGAACCTGCCTACAATTCATCTGAGGTTAGATAAACTTGGACATGGTTAGACAGCTGTACCAATATATGTGACCTTCTTCCTATGAGGCTTAGAGAACTGTAATTAGGCTATTGGTTTCTGCTGTGGTTCTGGCCAGGTTGGCAGAGGGCTGTACCCTGGAGCAATTTCTATGCCAGTTTTGAGGAGGAATCCAGCTGACATTGTTAAAGTTCAAGTGCACAAAATGCCAGGCCTGACAAGACAAAAAGATATGCTGCTGGTAACAAATAAACAGGAGCCAAGAGGCACAATAGACAACTTCAATCAATTTATTTCCATCTGTTCATATCCACTTAACTACCCTGAGTTTATTTAGAGACAATTATCCATGGCAACAAACTACATCAGTCCCTCTGAGGAGTTTGTAATTTTTCATAAAAAGACTCAATGAAAATTCAAAACCAAGTGATATCACAGTATAATTCCCAAACTAGCTATTGTTAATTACAAAATAAAGTTAAACCTGCTGAAGGGGAAGCAACGTGATGCACTCCACTCTTTATAGTGGTGTTAAGAGCAAGAAGTGTAATTTTCTTCAGAAAGAAACACTCAGGTAGAAGATTATGGATGAAATAAACAAATCATACTTGGCTACTGCTTTGGAAATCCTAAATTTCTTTGCCTTGTCTGAGCAAAGCCAGTATTCATTACTATCAATCAAATGAACAAATAAAAATATTGACTTTCCTCCCCATTGGTGCTTTAGAAAAAATTTCCATGGACTTTTAAAGTGTGAATTTAGTTGCTTCCTTCTATTTAAAGTATTTCACCAACTAATTAGCAGGGTAAGAATGTAGTTCACCTATAAATAAATTTAAGTTTTGAAAATAATCCAGTTTGAAGGTTGAAATTTCCCATTATGCTGGACATTTAAATGTGGATATTTAGCATTATTTAAACTCTATGTACCTGCCAAAATTAACCATCTTCCCTCCTGCTTGGTTTCTTGTGTTTTTTTTTTTTAATTTTATTTATTTTTCTTTTTTTGAGAAGGAGTCTCGCTCTTTTGCCCAGGCTGGAGTGCCGTGGCAAGATCTCGGCTCACTGCAAGCTCCGCCTCCCAGGTTCACGCCATTCTCCTGCCTCAGCCTCCTGAGTAGCTGGGACTACAGGTGCTGCCACTGCACCTGGCTAATTTTTTGTATCTTTAGTAGAGACGGGGTTTCACCGTGGTCTCGATCTCCTGACCTCGTGATCCGCCCACCTCAGCCTCCCAAAGTGCTAGGATTACAGGCGTGAGCCACCATACCCGGCTGGTTTCTTGTTTTACCTTAACTATTTCTGTAGACAGTATCACCAGTCTTCTGGATCTTGACTAGAAACTTTGAAGTCATTGTTATTGCCATCTTTTCTTTTGAATATTAATGGTAATTAGCATTATTTGTATTATTAATCAAGAAGACATAACTCTTTAAAAATGTGTTCTTCACCACGTTTCTAGCACTCATTCCACTCTTTTCACTATAACGGTGACCACTGTCATTTGTGCTCGTCTCATCTCATGCATTAATTATGATAGCCTGCTAATTTCTTTCACTCACTTTGCCACATTACTGATTAATCTTCCTAAAAATATTGATTTAATACTCTAAGTGGTTTGCTAACAATGTTTCTCTAATCAGTTTTTCTACTTCTTTCCATTGTAAATTATTTTAAAATTTTATTTTCTAATTGTTTCCATAACTCAGAATATTTATATCTTATAGGGATAGTCTAGACTAAAAAATCAACTATATCATTATATCTTCTCTGGGGATACTTAATTTTTTAATCAATTTTGATTTCTCATTTGCCCTATCAACTCCAGAGAGTATTGATATAATGCCATTAAAATATTGATTAATTGTTGCTAAACAGATTATTAATCAGGGCCAACCATTGTGGCTCCCACCTGTAATCCCAGCACTTCAGGAGTCTGAGGCAGGAGGATTGCTTGAGTCCAGGAATTTGAGAACAGCCTGGACAACATAGTGAGACACCGTCTCTACAAAAGAATTTAAAAATTAGCTGGGCATGGTTGTGTGTGCCTGGAGTACCAGCTATTTGGGAGGCTGAGGTGGGAGGATTGCTTGATCAAGCCCAGGAGGTCGAGGCTGTAGTGAGCTGTGATTGTGCCACTGCAATCCATCCAGCTTGGGCAACAGAGTGAGACCCTGTCTCTCAAAACAAAAGAAAACCAAACCAAACCAAAAAACATAAACAAACAAACAAAAAACTACATTAACCAAATTTTGGAGTTTTGAGGAAAGGAGTCTCCTGTAAAACAGACAATATACATTCTTTTTTTTTTTTTTTTTTGAGTCGGAGTTTCACTCTTGTTGTCCAGGCTGGAGTGCAATGGAGATATCTCAGGTCACTGCAACCTCCGCCTCCCAAATTCAAGCAATTCTCCTGCCTCAGCCTCCTGAGTAGTTGGGATTACAGGCATGCACCACCACACCCGGCTAATTTTGTATTCTTAGTAGAAATGGGGTTTCTCCATGTTGGCCAGGATGGTCTCGAACTCCCGATCTCAGATCCGCCCACCTTGGCCTCCCAAAGTGCTGGGATTACTAGCATGAGCCACTGTGCCTGGCAGCAATATAAATATTTAAGTGTTGAGAAGGCAATCACTTCAAATGAGTGAAAAATGAAGGGGTGGACCTATGTATAGTTTATATACCTATTCAATTGAAACTGAACACTGTTGATTTGACACATGTATTACTGTCACAACAGTGAAGAGGCATAAATGGTTTTAAGTCATAAAATGATTATAGTTAGTATGTATTTTTCACATTTGAATTACGTTTTATGCTATTTTCCCTGATACCATATACAGTCAATTCACCAAGTAATGCACATTAAATACCTACTGCATCCCAGGTAATGTGTTGGATATAACATAAGTTAATTTTTTATCTGTGTTCACAGCATTTACACAGACATATGCACAGCACATATCTAAATGTATAGTATACTTACATCAGAACAAGCCTTGTATATAAGGCAAAGTCCAAATACTGAGATCACTGTATATATCTAAAACAAGAAAATTAACTCTTGGAATTGATTCAACAGGTGCTAGAATCTCTGGGAAGCCAAATAGCTAGTGAGGCAATCAAGCAATCAGAATTAGCAGGAAGTCCCTATCACCTGGCTAGATAGACAGAGAGGATGTTCCACAGGAACTGGACCACAGTCCATTTGTCCAACAGGAGCTATTGTCATGGAGGAAACATAGCCACTGCTGAAGACACTACAGGAAATAGAGAAGGCGGAGAAGTACCTCAGCTTACTTCCTCATCCTATCCTCCAATCCCCTGCCACTGTCTTCTTATTGGCCAAATCTATCCAGAGGCCCAGAGGCAGAAGATCCTAGGAAATATTATTTCTTGTGGAACAAAAACAGAGCAGGGGAAGGGGGGGATGCACTAAGCTGGAGACTGATAGGAAGCCCTTGGTCAAGTGATGCTATGACTGAGACAGGAAGACTTCTAGATTTATTTGCCCACTCTGGACACTGAAATCCTGGCATCCATTTAATTAAGTTTATCACTGGCATCCATTTAATTAAGTTTCTTTTCAATTTCTGAAAAGTTATTTTAGTTTGAGTTTTCAAAAAGACCACATAAAGATGAGAATTAACACCCATTTTATAGAATTAACTATATGCCATTTA
Source organism: Homo sapiens (assembly GCF_000001405.40). Taxonomy (NCBI): domain Eukaryota; kingdom Metazoa; phylum Chordata; class Mammalia; order Primates; family Hominidae; genus Homo; species Homo sapiens. The sequence continues at coordinate 110,615,159 of NC_000003.12, read as the reverse complement.
TAAAACTGTAGGATAAACAGGTATATATACACAACCACTTTCATATCCTAAACTATAATTATTTATATAATTCTGTTAGTATCTTAAGGACTCCTACATATGATAAACCACCCCATAAGTATTTGTGAAACCCTTAGGTGTGTGTGGCTATGAGAAAAATGTGTAGCTTTTCTATACAGAACCTTAACCCTTAAGAAAATAAACTGTGCCTTATTTGTGTGCATGTGTGTATGTGTGTGTGTGCGAGAGAGAGAGACATAGAGAGAGAGAGAGATGGAGAGAGAGAGAGAGAAAGAAAGAAAGAAACCAGGAATTAAAACCCCACTTTTGTTGAATGAATGAACCATCTAGAAAGCAAAGGAGTAAAAATCAAGATTGGGAAAGGGCTGGAATGAAGAGTGAGCTTTTATTTGGGAAGAATATGTACCAGTTCCAAAACACTGTAGCTGATGGTATCTTCCTTTCCGTCAGCTACCTGGAATAGGACATTAGCAGTCACAGCTTATTTTACTCAAACCATCATCTCTCCAAAAGGAGAGAAGAAATTAGACACTGGATCAATGTTTACTGTTGCCCTAAGCACTGTACGCTGTACTATATTCTTTATCATCTTTGTTGCTTCTTGACAAACTTCTGAAACAGAATGATTAAGCCCAATTGGCAGATAAGAAAATTGATACTAGGAAAAGTAAAGAAATGTACTAAAGGTTACATAGCAAGTAACTGGCTGGGTCAGCTTTACAATTCAGGCATGTAGAGCTGAAAAGAAAATATATAGTCCTCCTGATTTCAGCTCGGGTTGCTTGAAATAACCAAAGTCAGTTAGAGATCTCTGCTTCATATAGCAGATTTATAGCTCTGTTGTCTACATGGTTGCCCTAAACTGTTCTCAAATGTTTAAAATGTTTAACAGGAGGGAAATTTATATTTCAAAATTAAAAAGAGTCTTGTAAGGCAAATTGGACTGTGACTGGATAAGTATTAGTGAGAATAGTTTTAAATCAATGTACCAATGACTGCTTCCAGCTTTAAATAATAGGGTTATTGTTCAGAGGGGCTAAATGCATCATAAATTAGGACAGGTTAGACCACCAAATAGAGAAAAGTGTATTAGAAACAGTGGTGCTGTGAGCTGTAGTCAGATTTCAAAAACTTTGCAATTTTTTCTTAGTCATTTCTTCTAGTCTTCAACTGTTGATAGGAAAAGTGTATTAGTCCATTCTCATGCTTCTGTGAAGAAAGAAATACATGAGACTGGGTAATTTATCAAGGATAGAGGTTTAATTGACTCACAGTTCCACATGGCTGGGGAGGCCTCAGGAAACTTACACTCATGGTGGAAGGCACCTCTTCACAGGGCAGCAGGAGAGAGAATGAGTGCAAGCAGGGGAGATGCCAAACACTTATAAAACCATTGGATCTCATGAGACTCACTTATTATCATGAGAACAGCATGGGGGAAACCACCCCCATGATTCAGTTACCTCCACCTGGTCCCGCCCTTGACACAAGGAGATTATTACAATTCAAGGTGAGGTGGGGCTGGCAAACCATATCAAAAAGCAAAGCTTGGACTCTGCTATTTTGTGGAGGGGTGGCTCCACAATTCTCCCATCAGATCACCTCATCTTTGTTGCTTATGTTAGATTTATAGTAGAAATTTTTTTGTGAAAGGGTCCTGCTGCTAAACAAAAATGCTTAAATACCACAAATCTAGAACATTATTGAAGGTTGTAGAAAAATAACTGAAATGGGAGTTGGGGGACTCAGGTTCTTATCCTAGCTTTGTTTCCTAGAGTGTGAGAAAATTATTTAACCTCCTGTATCTTTCACTTCTTTATGTCAGTTGAATCAGAATCTAAGCATCCTATTAATTAAAGTCCTCCTAGCTTCTGCATTCTGTGCTATATGCATGGGGAGATGCATTTTGCAGCATAAATGGATGACTTTTTATTGTTATCTCTTAGGGAATTTTTAGTTTTTTTGGCACCGGTAATATTAGAGGATGATTGAGCATGGTGTTCTAGCTAAAGGTTAGCAGCATTTTGAGGTGTGGCTGTGAAATGGTATAAGCACAAGTTAGTTCTAATTGCTTCATATACCAGTGAGTTAGCATGAAGGTGTCTGACAAACTGACAGTACTTCTCTTTTCTACAGCTTATAGAGAGGACCATGGACCTTATTAAAATTATCTGGAACCAAGATACCACTGTCAGGCTCCTTTTGTAGAAAACCCATAATTTATTTATCTTTTGACCCATCTTGAAGTCTGGGACCTGGGATAATTACTCCTACATATCCATAGTGGAGGAGAGATTTTCAGGGTTGGGACCAAGGGAGCCACGGACCCTGTCGCCAGTTGGTGCTGTGATCCATCAAACCCACCAAACAGATGCCCATGTCTACATTCATACACTAAACTTTACAGAGGCGTATCTGGCTATACCCTTGAAGACGCTATTTTACTCTAAGAATTTTATTCAGTGTGAGGTCTTTTGGAAGTGATTTGCATGAATCTTAGTGGAATTTTTTTTCAGGAGCTACACTTATGATAGAAAATTAAACGACTCTTGCAGATATGCAAATCTAATTATTTTTCTCCTGTTTCCTTTTTTTATTGACAAAGGTATCCAGGAAGCCTGTAATAAGAAGCAAGTCTAGAATGTAAGCTTCTGGAACGTAGGGGACTTATTTGCCAGTCTGGGATACAGAACACATAAAAAAAGCTTTAAAATGAAGAATGGGCTCTGGCTTCAAAGGATCGTGTTAGCAGGTGTTTGTGATCCAGGAGAAGCTCCGAGTTTGGGGAAAGAAACACAAGATAGAATCTAGTTTATTGATTGCTTTCTAAACGCTTCACAACAGAGTAGTAGTAAGGAAGAGGCACAAATATTTGCTTATTTGTAGTTTACTACTACTACAGTTATTCGACAAATATTTATTGAGCTGGTATTGTGTGCCAGGCATTGTTCTAGGATCTGAGGACATTGTGTGAACATGACCTTTGGACAATGTTTTTACATTTATGGATATTATTTTCTTGTGGGGAAAAGGGAAACAAATAAATACTTCATGACAAGCTACAGATGTCAGGTGCTGATAATGCTCCAAAAAAGAAAAAAAAAAAAACAGAGCAGGGTAAGATGGTAGTGCAAAAGAGTTGAAGGCTAACATTATGCAGAGTGGCATTAGGAGTTCTGAGTGAAGAGATGACATCTAAGCAGAGGTCTGACAAGATGGGAAAGCAATAATATGGATATTAGGGAAAGAATCATTGTAATTTTTTACTACTCTTATGTTAACATTGCTTGATCTGATCATTCTATTTTATTCACCTGGAATATCCCCCTCCTTCTCAAATTTTAGCATTTAAGGGCTCAGTTCATAACGTATGTTGGTTCTAGACAGTCTTCAGTAAAATCCTCTTTTTGAATGTACTTTCCTTTCATGAGCCTAAAGATATCCTTCTAGATTTTTACTGTGTAATTAATTTTTTATTTTTCCTGGGGAAAAACAGAATTAATAAATGTGACAATAAAGTGTACTGCGTAAGGCTTTCTACAGCTTTTCTCAGAAACAAAATATTGTAATAAGTAATCTTAGCAAAATAAGGGGAGAAGATTCTTTGTACAGAAACTTTTCTTAGATCTGTTAATGCATATCCTTAAGAGTAGGTGAAGTCTAACCCACTGGAACTTCCTCAAGTGAGGGTACAAATTTAGCACTGGATGTAATCACTTCCCATCATTCCTCAGCAAGTGTAGGTAGTATCTTTGAACCCATGCTGAAGTGACAGGCAAACCCTTATCTCCTTCCCCAAGTATAAGAGAAAGAGTATTTTGAGCTCCTTGGACTTTATAAAAGCACTTTTATTGAGGTATAATTAACACAAAATGAACTGCATATACTTAAGATGTACAATTTGATAATATGTGACATATATATATCCATGAACTCCCCACCACCACAATCAAGATAGTGAACATATTTATCACCTGAAAAAGTGTCCTTATGCCCCTTTTTAATCAGTACCATCTATTCTTCCTATCCGCTACCTTCAGGCATCAGTGGATCTCCCATCTCTCACCAGAGATTCATCTGCAGTTTTTAGAATTTTATAGAAACTGCTTCTCTCACTCAGCATAATTATTGTTGAGATTCATCTATGTTATTACATGTATAAATAGTCCATTCTTTTTATTGCTGATTGGTTCCTTGTATCAATTTACAAGTTTGTTTATTTATTCACTCAAGATGGATATTTGGGTTGTCTTTAGTTTCTGTAAATTACAAATACATTTTTGTAAATTACAACTATGATAACAAATATGCAAATGCTATAACATCAGTGTATAAGTCTTTGTGTGGGCAGACATGCTTTCATTTCTCTTGGATGAATACCTAGGAATGAGATGGCTGAACATATGCTAAGGGTATATCTGACTTCTTAAGATACTCTCAAACTGTTTTCCAAAGTAGTTGAACTACTTTACATTCCTATCAGCAATGTATGATACTTTCAGTTCTTCCACAAACTTGTTAACACTTGGAATCATCAGATTTTTAACTTTAGCCATTCCACTAGGTGTATAGTAGTATCTCATTATTTTTTAAATTTGCATTTGCTTAAGGACAACTGATGAACACTTTTTGTGTGTGCATATTTGCCACTCGTATATCTTCTTTGGTGAAGTGTCTCTTCAAACCTTTGGTTTATTTTTTACTGAGTTTTTTTTAATTGAGTTTGGAGCTTTCTTTGTTATTCTGGAAAGAAGTCCTTTACCAAATATATGATTTGTAATATTTTCTCCAAATTTGTGACTTATGTTTCCATTCTGTTAACAGTGCCTTTCAGAAAATAGAAGTTTTACATTCTAATAAAGCCCAAATTATCTATAGTTCTTCTATGGATGATGCATTTGGTGTTATTTCTAAGAAATCCAAGCCTAGTACAAGCTTACAAAGATTTTCTCCTATGTTTTCTTTTTGTTTTAGGTTTATGACCGTTTTGAGTTTAAAAAATATATAGTGTGATGGATATAGTGTTAAAGTTTTTTGGTTGTTTATTTTGCTTATTTGTTTTTATTTTGGCATATGCATATCCAGTTGTCTAAGCAACATTTGTTAAAAGGCTATTCTCTCTCTGCTGAATTGCCCTTGCCCCTTGTTAAATTTTATAGTATGTGGGTCTATTTTCGACTATATTCTATTCCATGTATTTGTCTATTCAAATTATTTGCCCATTTTGAATCACCTTGTTTGTTTTTTCTGTTATTGAGTTTTAGGAGTTCTGTGTATTATTAATCCCTCATCAGAAATATAATTTGAAAATATTTTTTCCTATTCCATGGGTGACCTTTTTACTCTCTTGATAGTGTTTTTGATGCAAAAACATATATGTAAGAGTTTATTTCTGAACTTTCCATTCTATTCCATTTGTCTAAATGTCTGACTTTATGCTACTACCATATTCCTTTGATTACTCTAGTTTTTTGGTATCTTTTAAAATCAGGAAGTGTGAGTCTTCTAGGTTGTTCTTCTTTTTAAAGACTGTTTTGGCCATTCAGGAGTCCTTTGACATTTTACACAAATTTTAGGATGGGTTTTTCTATTTCTGCAAATATGGTCATTGGGATATTGATAGGGATTAAATTGAATCTATGAATCACTTTGAGTAATATTGACATTTTCACATTTTTAAGTTGTCATATCCATAAACATGGCATGTATTTCCAACCATATATGTCTTCTTTAATTTCTTTCAGCAATGTTTTGTAATTTTATTGTTGATGTCTTTTATTCCTTACATTAATTTATAAATATTTTATTTTTTAGAATTGTTTTATAATTTCCATTTTTATTGTTCATTTTTAATGCATAGAAATGCAACTGAATTTTGTGTGTTGACTTTGTGTTTTGCTACTTTTCTGAATTCATTGATCTGTTTTAGGCATTTTTTGTGGAATCATTTGAGTTTTCTACATAAAACATAACATCTGTGAAAAGAGATAATTTTACTTCTTTCTCTTTTACTTGGATGCCTTTGTAAATTTAATTTTTCACCTTTCTGATCCGGCTAGAGTTTCCAGTACTGTGTAGAACAGAAGTAGTAAAAGTAGATATCCTTGCCTTATTCTTGACCTTAGATGAAAAGCTTTCAATCTTATACCATTGAGTATGTTGTCCACTGACTTTTTCACATATGGCTTTTCTTATGTTGAGGTAGTTTCCTTTCATTCCTAGTTCATTGAGTACTTTTATAATAAAAGAATGTTAAATTTTTTAAGTGTTTTTTTTCTGCATCAAATGAGATAATCATGTGCTTTTTCCCCTTCCTCATTTTGTTAATGTGGTGTATGACATTGATTTATTTTTGTATGTTGAATCATTCTTGCATTCCATTCTTGCATTCCATTCTTGCACTTGGTCATGGTGCAATCTTTTAAATATACTGTTATATTCAATATGCTATTATTTGTTAAGAGTTTTTGCATCAGTGGCCTTCAGGGACATTGGTTTGTAGTTTTCTTGCAGTGTCTTTGTCTGTAGTTGGTATCAGGGTAATATTGACCTCATGGAATGAGTTAGGAAGTGTTACTTTATCTTCAGTTTTTTTGAGAGAAGTTTGAGATGGATCAATGTTAGTTCTTTAAATGTTTGGTAGAATTCACCAGTGAAACCATTAGCTCCATGGCTTTTCTTTTTTGGGAGTTTTTAAATGAATGATTCTATTTCCTTACTAGCTATAGGTCTATACAGATTTTCTGTTTTTTCATGAGTTAGTCTTGGTGGATTTTTGTATTTCTAGAAATTTTTCCATTTTATCTTCATTATCCAATACATTGGTGTATAATTGTTCATAGTATTCTCTTATAATCTTTTTATTTAGGTAGAATTGGTAATAATGTTTCCACTTTCATTTCCAATTTTAGTAATTTGTGTCTTCCATCTTTTTAAATCTTTATTTTTAAATAATAGAGATGGGGTCTCACTATGTTGCCCAGGCTGGTCTTGAACTCCTGAGTTCAAGTGATCCTCCTGCCTCAGCCTCCCAAAGTGCTAGGATTACAGGCATCAGCCCCCATGTCTGGCCACGTCTTCTCTCTCTCTCTTTTTACTTTGTCCATCTAGTTAAAGATTTTTCAATTTTGTTGATCTTTCTAAAAGATCAACTTTTAGTTTTATTGATTTTCTTGAGTGGTTTTCTATTTGTATTTTGTTAATCTCTGCTCTAATTTTTACTACTTCCTTTTTTTTCTGCTAGCTCTGAGTTTACTTTGTCCTTCCTTTTTTTCTAATTCTTTAAGTTATACATTTAAGATGTTGATTACAGACTTTTTTTTTTTAAATGTAAGCCTTTATAGCTATAAATTTCTTTCTTATCACTGCTTTCTCTGTGTCTCATGAGTTTTGGTACATTACGTTTTCACTTTTATTCATTTTTAAGTATTTTCTATTTATTCTTGTGATTTCTTCCTTGATCCATTGCTTGTTTCCATGTTGTTTAATTTTTACCCCATCGTGGTTGGAGAAGATACTTCATAAGACATCTATATTTTAAAATATATTGATACTTTATTTGTGGCCTATCATATGGTCTATCCTGAAAAAAATCTGATGTATACTTGAGGAGAATATGTATGTTATTTTTGTTAGGTAGTGTTCTGTATGTGTCTGTTAAATCAAGTTGGTTTAATGTGTTGGTTAAGTCCTGTATTTCTTTCCTTACCTTCTGTCCGGTTGTTCTACCCATTGCTGAGAAAGTAGTGTTGCAGTCCTTAACTCAAAATGGATTAAAAACGTAAATGTAAGACTTGAAATTGTGAAACTACTAGAAGAAAACATAGGGGAAAAGCTCTGTGGCATTGACATGGGCAGTGATTTTTGTGGATGTGACCCCAAAAGTACATGCAACAAAAGCGAAAATAGATAAATGGGATTATACAAATTAAAAGCTTCTGCACAGCAAATAAAATGATTGAAAGAATAAAAAGATGACTCACAGATTGGGAGAAAGTATTTGCAAACCATACATTTGATAAGGGGTTAATATCCAAACTGTGTAAGGAAGTCAAACAACTAAGCAGCAAGAAAAGGAAGAACTTGCTTAAAAAATGTCTAAGTACCTAGAAGAGACATTTCTGAAAAGAGCACACACAAATGGTCAATATGTAGTTGAAGAAAATGCTCAACATCACTAAACATTAGGGAAAGACAAATTAAAACCACATTGAGATATCACCTTACACCTGTTAGAATAGCTATTATCAAAAAGACAAAAGATGAGTGTTGAAGAGGATACAGAATAAAAGGAATCCTTGTACATTTTTTGATATTAATGTAAATTGGTATAGCCGCAATGGCAAATTGTATAGAGTTTCCTTTAAAAAGTAAAAATACAACTGCTATATTCCCCAGAAATCTCACTTCTGTGTATATAGCCAAAAGATTTGAAATAAGTATGTCAAAGAGATATCTGCTCTCCCATGTTCATTGAAGCATTACTCATAATAGCTAAGATATGGAATCAACCTGGGTTCCTCAAAGAATGAATGGATTAAAAGAATATCTATATATATTCAAAGGAATTTATTCAGCCTTAAAAAAAGAAGAAGATTCTTTCATTTGCAACAACATGAATGAACCTGAAGGACATTATGTTAAGTGAATAAGCCCGGCACAGAAAGACAATGCCACATGATCTCACAGATATGTAGAATCTAATATAGTCAATCTTGTAACAGTACAGAGTTAAATGATTTTTACACTTGGCTGGTGGTGATGAGGAGAATGGGGAGATGTTGGTCAAAGTGTATAAAGTTTCTGTTACATTGAAGAATAATTTTTTGAGATCTACTGCACACATCATGCATAGTGTATTGTGTATTTCAAAATTGCTAAGGGAGTACATTTCAAACATTCTCACCCTAAAAAATGGTGGATGAGGTGATGAATATGTTAATTGGCTTGACTTAATCATTGTGCATTATATACAGATAACATCACATCTTATACTATAAATATATACAATTATAACTGGTTAATAAAAAATAAAAATATAATGTTCTTTGTTATCTCTTGTAGCTTTTTTAGGATTTAAAGTGTATTTTGTCTGGTATTAGCATAGCTATCACCTGCTGTCTTTTGGTTGCATTTGCACGGGACATCTTTTCCATTATTTCACTTTCAATCTATTTGTGCCTTTGTGTTTAAAGTGAGTCCTCATAAATAACATTATGTTAAAACATATTTTTTAAGAAATTTATTCTTACAATCTGTCTTTTGATTGGAGAGTTTAATCTATTTACATGTAAAATAATTACTGATAAGGAGGGACTTATTCCTGTCATTGTGCTATTTGTTTTTCAGATGCTTTATAGTTTTTGTCCCTCATTCACTGCATCAATCTCTTCTTTTGTGTTTAGTTTATTTTTTGAAGTAAAATGGTTTAATTTCTTGCCCATATTCTTCGTGTATGTTCCATTGCTATTCTGTAAAGAGTACATTAAACATCCTAAAGTTACAGCACAAATTTCAACTTATGCCAGCTTAACTTTAATAAAATATAAAATCTCTACTACTTTACTAATCTGTCCCCACCCCTTTCTGTTATTGATGCCGGAAAATGATACTTTTACTCATTGTGTGCCCTAAAACATAAAGTAATAATTTTCACGTACATTAGAGTCCTCAATTTTGTGAAAACCAAAATGTAGGTATAAACCAAGGTTATGATACTAGATTTTAGACTAATAATTATATATATTTATATATATTATATGTATTAGTTTCTTAAATCATGTAGAAAACAAAAAGTAGAATTGCTAACGGTTGTTAGAATAATACCAGCTTTTACAATTGTACTTGTATTTACCTTTATTGAGATCTTTGTTTCTTCATATGGCTTTGAGCTACTGTCTAGTGCTCTTTCATTTCACCCTGCAGAATGCCCTTGAGCATTTCTTGCAGTGCAGGCCTATTGGTAATGAACCCCCTTAGTTTTTATCTGAGAATGTCTTAATTTCTCTCTCATTCTTGAAGGACACTTTTGCTGGAGATAGGATCCTTGCTTGGCAGACTTTATTTTTTTCTTTTACCACTTTAGATACATCAGCCCACTGCCTTCTGGTATGCAAAGTTTCTGATGAGAAATCTGCTGATAATTTTATTGTTGATCCCTTTTATATGGTGAGTTGCTTCTCTCTTGCTGCTTTCATGATTTTCTCTTTATGTTTGAGTTTTGAAAGTATTATTATAATGTGTTCCAGTCAGTCTCTTTGAGTTCATATTACTTGAAATTTGTTGAGCTTCTTAGATTTCTGTATTAATGCCTTTTATCACATTTGGAAAGTTTTCAGCCATAACTAATTTAAATATTTTATTTTCTCCTTTCTTTTTCTCATCTCCTTTTGGGACTCAGCAATGTATATGTGGGTCCACTTGATGGCTGTCCTATAGGTCCCTTAGGCTCTGTCCACTTTTCTTTAATCTTTTATCTTTTGCTTCCTCAGACACTATAATTTCCACAGTCTTATCTGTGAATTTGCAATTTTTTTTTTCTGCCTACTCAAATCTGCCTTTGAATCCTTGTGTGTATTTTTCATTTTGGTTATTCTATATTTCAGCTCTGGACTTTACTTTTGGTTTCATACTTAGGTTACCTGTCTCTGTACTGATAGTTCTATTTTGTTTATATATCAACATCTTCCTTTAATTTTTGAAGCATTTGTAAGACAGTTGTTTTAGAATTTTTGCATAATAGGTCTTTTTCAATGACAGTTTCTGTTTACTTATTTTTTCTTTTATATGTGACATGCTTTCCTATTTCTTTGTACGCCTGTGACTTTGTCGTTGTTGTTGTTGTTGAAAACTGGACATTTAAATTTAATAATATGGTAATTCTGGTAATTAGGTTCTCCCAATTCTCCAGAGTTTGCCCTTATTTTGTTATTGCAGTTGTTTATTTATTGTTTTTATTTTATTTTATTTTATTTATCTTTTATTGTTGTAGGCTTTTTTTTTTTTTTTCCATGCCAAGGATCAGCTTGAGGTGTAAACTTAAGGTCTTTTCACGTGTTTTCTGAGCCTGCGTCTTTCTCTGGGCATATATGGTCACTTTCTAATTTTCCTCATATAAGTAGTTGCTTCTTAGTGACCTAGTCTTTAACGTTTGGTACCAAAAAGGGGGGGAAATAAAAAAATAAAGAGGGGCTGGGAGCGGTGGCTCATGCCTGTAATCCCAGCACTTTGGGAGGCTGAGGTGGGCAGATCATGAGGTCACGAGTTTGAGACCAGCCTGGCCAATATGGTGAAACCCCCATCTCTACTAAAAATACAAAAATTAGGCTGGGGGCAGTGCCTCACGCCTATAATCCCAGCACTTTGGGAGGCCAAGGTGGGCGTATCACGAGGTCAGGAGATCGAGACCATCCTGGCTAACACAGTGAAACCCCGTCTCTACTAAAAATACAAAAAAATTAGCCAGGTGTGGTGGCTGGCACCTGTAGTCTCAGCTACTCGGGAGGCTGAGGCAGGAGAATGGCGTAAACCCGGAAGGTGGAGTTTGCAGTGAGCCGAGATCGCGCTACTGCACTCCAGGCTGGGCCATAGAGTGAGACTCCGTCTCAAAAAAAAAAAAAAAAAAAAAAAATTAGCCCGGGGTGGTGGCGGGCACCTGTAATCCCAGCTACTCGGGTGGCTGAGGAAGAGAATCGCTTGAACCTGGGAGGCGGATGTTTCAGTGAGCCGAGATCGTGCCATTGCACTACAGCCTGGGTGACAAGAGTGAAAGTCCATCTCAAAAAAACATATAAAAATAAAAATAAATAAATAAAGAGGGAGAAAAGGCACTGGCCCTTCATATTTTCTAGAAGTCACTTCGACCAGAGAGGGAGGGATTTGGAACAATTGAGGGAGGCGTAACAATGGCCACCTTCCTCTTTGTCTGCAACTCTGTGAGCATAAGGAGCAATCAGTATTCAGAACTGATACTCAATATTTGAAGAACAAAGGTTCTTTTTGCCCACCCTGGCACCCACAAACTGTGTGCAAACTGCTCCTGGATTTTGCGAACAGCTGCTTGTAATGGAGGTGGAGGTAGGGCATGGATAGCTGCTATTGTGGTAAGAGTTAAAACTGACTGGAACTAGATGCAACTTACCATGTAAGCCTTCCTCTGGAGGTTGCAATCTTTCAAAAGACTCCAGAGTTTCAAAATAGTCACATCAGTGCAATTGTTGTCTAGGTTGGGAGAGGGATTCCTGGTGCTTCTTCCGCTGCCATCTTCCAATAATTGTTTATTTTTCTATTTTTATGACAATACCATACTGCCTTTATTGCTGTAATATGACAAGAAGTCTTGAAACAAGAAATTATTCGTGCTTTTAAAGTTATTTTAAATATTCTCTGCCTTTTACATTTCCATATGAATTTTAGAATTAGCTTGTGACCTTCTTTGAAAATGTTCATGGAATGTAGGTTGCAATTGTCTTAAAACTATAGATTAATTTATCAATAATTAGCATTATAAAAATAGCAAAATTTTCTAGCACATTAAAATGGTACATATTTTTACTTCTTTAAAGGTCTTCAGTTTCTCTCATGTATTGTAGTTTTTAGTATACAGGTCTTGTACATATCTTGTTAGATTTATTCCCATGTATTTTACAGTTTCAATGCTATTATAAATGATATTTTTAAGATGGAACCTTCCCATTGCATTTTGCTAATACATAGAAAAATAATTGATTTTTGTATAATGGTCTTTCATTATGCAAACTTGATTAACTCACTTATTGGTTTTAGTAGTGTTCTTGTACATTGCATAAAATTTTTTACATAGACAATCAGGATGTCTGTGAATAAAGACAATTTTTTTTTCCAATCTGGGTGCCATTTATTGATTGATTTAGGCATTTATTTATTTATTTGCCTTATTGTATTGGCTAGGACATTCAGGACAGTGTTAAATAAGACTTTCTTATTCCTGATTTTAGGGGGAAAACATTCAGTATCTCAGGATTACTTCTGATATGAACTATGTTTTTTGTATATTCCTTATATCAAGTTAGGAAGGATTTCAATCAGAAATAGATGTTGGATTTTATCAATGTTTCTTCTGCATTACATGAGATGATTATATGGTTTTTCTTTGCTTAGACTGTAAATATGGTGAATTATACTAATGGATTTTAAAATATTAAACCAAGCTTGCTTTCCCAGGAAAAAACCCCACTGGGACATACTGCATTTTTCTTTTAATGCATTATTGAATTTGACTTACTAAATTAATAAAAATAACTTAAATATCTATAATCATGAAAGATGTTGGTCTTTAGTATTCTTTTTGTGGTGATGTTCTCTGATTTGATACCAAAGTACTACTGGTCTCATAGGAGTTGGCAAGCATTCCTTTCTCTTTAATCTTCTGGAAGAGTATTTGTAGAATTTATATTTTTCTTTCATAAATATTTTGTAGAATTTATTAATGAGGTCATTTGGGCCTAAAGGTTATTTTATAGGAAAAATTTTTGCTATGAAATAAATTTATTTAATTCATATAAGGCTATATGGTTTATTTGAACTTGTGTATTGTAAAAAATTTGTCCACTTCTTCTAAGTTGCTGAATTTATGACTATAAAGTTGTTCATAGTATTTCTTGATTTTCCTTTTAACCTATGTAAAATCTGTTGTGATTTTTCCCATCTCATTCCTGACCCTGATAATATGTGTCTTTTTTTTTAATTTTTGATGAGTTTAACTAGGGGTTTATCAATTTTTTTGATCTACTCAAAGAGCCAGTTTTTGGTGTTATTGAATTTCTCTATCATTCTGTTTTCTCTTTCACTGATTTGTCCTCTGATATTTTTCTGCTTTTTAAAATTTTCTTTTCTATTTCCTTAAGGTAGAAGCTGAGAGTTTATTTCTGGTATCTTTCTTCTTTTCTAACATAGGCACTCTATGTTATAATTTTCTTTCTAAGCACTGATTTAACTACATTCCATAATTTTAACATGTTTCATTTTCATTCATTTCAAAACACTTCCTAATTTTCCTTTTGTTTTCTTCCTTGAATTCTGAGGGTTACTTGCAAGTGTTTTATTTGGTTTCAAATATTTGGATTTTCTCCCAGTTTCCATTTTTGCTGAGCCTCAAACCTAGAATTTTGTAAAACTACTTAATGGAAGGTGTTGTGGATTCATCTCTTTTCTGGTGTCCTGGAGCTTCTTTCTCAGTGTTTATAGCTTAAATTTAGAAGGGAAAGGATGAGCTGATTTCTACATGTGGCCGTTGTGGTGGAAATTCTTTTCTCCCACCAAGAACAGTTATTAATGTAAGTAAATAATTAAAATTATTGATTATTAAGCTAAACAATTTCTAAATCATTAATAAGTTTATAATTATTACATAAAACAGATATTTAAAGGCATAAGAAAATAATTAAGAACTTAAAGATTCATGAAAGAATTAAGTTTTCATGGCAGAAAGACTTAAGGGTCCAAGATTACAGAGAAAATTTATAGCAAGCATTTTTGATGTTGCACCAATTTCATCAGCACACTCATCTCTAAGTTTTGAATGTATCTGCGACTTTTTGCCTGCAAGCTTCGTCTTATGGAAAAATACATTCGTTTCATGTATGGGCACACTGGAAACTCTGAATATTCAACTCTCCCAAAGCAACTCTCATCTAGTAATGGTTAAGGTATTAATATATAATTGACCTCATTTCTTTTCAGTTTGGTTGGCATGTCTCTAAGACTTAATCTATACTTTCCATAGTTTCTGATCATACTCTATCTATCTTCCAGGATAAAATTAAATTCTCCCATAAGAAAGATTAAAATTCCAGAAGTCTACTAGTCTTTATTCCATTCTTTTTCCTCTTATTCTTCTAGAATTTTTCAAATAGCCATGCATTTCAGGAAGGAAGACCAAATAACTGAAAGCCAAGAGAAGAGAAAATAACAGAAACCTAAGTTTAAATGATTAATTTACTAGTATTATTATGCATTGGTAGACAAAAGTAGCTTAACTGCTTACTTTATTAAAAAAAAAAAAGATGAAGGCTACAGAATGGAAATGTAAGACCAGAAAACGTTTTTAAATTAAAGAAAAACCAAAAAATGGAAAAACAGAAGAGAGGATAAGAGACTACAAGACATATGAAAAGGCCCAACATATATGTAAGTGGAATTCTTGATGGAGAAAAGAAAGAGAGAGAATGGGAAGGAGCAAGTTTTGAAGATAGAATGGTCAAGAATTTCCCAAAACTGGTTAAAGACATGAACCCAGAGATTTAAGAAGTTTAGTGACTTCCAGAAATTATTAATACAAAGAAAAGCACACCCAGACATATTATAATAAAATTACTGAAAGCTAAAAACAAGAGATCTTAAATGCATGCAGTTATAGAAGTAGTGAATGCTCATTAACTTCAATGAAGCAAAAATATATCAACAATGTATATTGTTTGGAAAAATAAAGGGAGCCAGAAGACAAATAATCCCGTGTTTAGAGAACTACAAAAATAACTGGCAACTTGGAAAATTATACTCAATGATAATATTCCTCAAAATGAAAGTGATGAAGATGTTTCAAATTAACAAAAACTTATTCCTATGTGATACATATGAAAGCATACACTAAAGACAGCTCTTTAGGCAGGAGAAAAATAATCCCAGACTGAAATACAATGACAAAAGAAAGAATGAAGAGCAACAAGAAAGCTATTTATGTGAGTGTTGACAAAAAAAACCAAACTGTAAATTATTTAAAGAGGTTTATTCTAAGCTTCATATTTGAATAATTTTGGCCCATGACACAGTCTTAAGAGATCCCAGGAATGTGTGCCCAAGGTGGTTTGGTTACAGCATGGTTTTATACATTTTAGAGACAGAAGTCATTGGCAAAGACATAAATCATGTAAAGTATACATGTAAAGTATAAATTGGTTGGGCCTGGAAAGGTGGGACATCTCAAAATCAGGACTTCCAGGACACAGATAGCTTCAAGGATTTTCTGACTGGCCATTGGTTAAAAGAGTTAAGCTTTTCCTGAAGAGTTTAAGTCAGCATAAAGAAATGCATGAGTTAATGTAAGAAGGGTTTGGAAGCCAAAGTTCTTGTTATGTAGATGAAGCCTCTAAGTAACAGGCTTCAGAGAGAATAGATGGTAAATGTTTCTTATGGCACCTTAAAAGGTGTCACACTTTTAGTTAAATCTCTCTTGCTTCAGGAAAAGACCTGGAAAGGGAAGGGCATTCTCTATAGAATGCAAATTTTCTCCACAAGAGAAGGCTTTGGATGACCATTTCAAAATATGTCAAAGAAATATATTTTGTGTTAGAATGCTTTTATTTTCTTTAGAACCTGCTATCTGTCATGTGATGTTATACCAGAGTCAGGTTGGAGTTTAGTATCTCATTTCTACAAAGAGTCTGTTTTGAGGGTCTTATGATTGCTATTTTAATGTTAATGCTGGTCAGTTGTGCCTAAATTCTCAAGGAAAAAGTATATAAGGAGGCATGTTTGACCTGCCTTCCCATCATGGCCTGAAGTAGTTTTTTAGGTTTTATTTGAAATTCCATTGACAAAGATGAGAAGTGTATTCAGTCAACTGGGGGACTTAGAATTTTATTTTTGGTTTACATGAGTAAATGTGAGTGAATACTGACTACTTAATGTGATATTAATAATAATGGCTTATGGTGTTGTGTGTGTGTGTGTGTGTGTGTGTGTGTGTTTGTATCTATGGTTGTTCTAGCGTTAAAAGGGCAGAGTTGAGTATTTGTGACAGACCATATTGCCCTCAAAGATTAAAATATTTACTATCTGGTAAATCACAGAAAATATTTGCTGATCCCTGTGGATATTCTTACTATTTACAAGGCTGATTAGTTGTGATGGTTTAAAGCAAGGGCTATCAACTCATGATTTGAAAGCCAGCCATGCAATTTTGTCCATAGGTAGGGCCAGGTAAATTAACATATCGCTGTTTTAGGTCTAGGTCTAGGTCCTGGAATTAGTGAAGTCTAGTGGATGAGCTTTTAATAGAAACTAGGAGATTCTACTTAGTTGAAGGCTAACTGGCTTTGATAAATTAATTTTCTTTCTAGAACTGCTTTGTCTGTAAAAAGAAATATAATAACAATATCTGCCTGTTTCAAAGCTTGCATAATAAAGATGATAAATATAAATAATCTTAATTATACTAAAATTATTAGCATTGACTTTGCATTGAAATAGAAATAGAGGTACGTGGCAAAATGTGAATACAAATGACTAATCTCTACATGACTTCTAAATTGGTTCTTGTTTGATTTATTTCATCCATTTTAGTTGATCTTTTCTGCAATTGATCAGAATAATCATATAATTAATTTGACTTTTAACAAAATCTCTTATATTGTCTTTAAGCCTCCATCAAATTATGCTCCTTCTTCTTTCATCTTTTTTTTTTTTTTAACTCTGATTTTGGCTGCTTTTTATTGAACACCTACTGTGTGCCATGTATGGTATGAAGTACATATTATTATCATCCTCATTTTTTTTTAGAGGAAAACACTGATATAAAATATTTTAAGTATTTTGTCCAAGTTTTCAAAATTCTTAAGTGGAAAACTGAAGTTTAAACTCAGGTCTTTCTGAATTTACAATGTACAGTATTGCTATTCATTTTCTACCTCTCTTCTAGAATGTATTGCACTTTGTGTTTGAGACTCATGCCTTATCCCTCTACATGTTTTGCATGCCTACCCAGATCAATGCTTTGCACAGGAGAAAGCCCATAATAAAAATAGTAAAAATTAGTTTGTATCAACAGATTTAAATAAATGAATACAATGGTTTTCTTGGGTTAAAAATGGGAAAGTTCCCTGGGCAAATAGGTTTAGAAAATTTTAGTTTGAACAGATTTTCCTAAAGCAGAAACCTTCAGAGGTTTTAAAAAGAAAGGTATAGCATTCACCGAAGATGTTTGAGTACAGTATTTTGAGTAAACATCTTCTTGGACTTTGGAAAAGTTAAAAATAATTTATTTAAAAAGATTCAAAAATTGTTGATAAGTTATAGTTTTAAGCAGAAAATATTAAATTTTATTCAACAAGCAAACATTTCCATCAATTTAGGGATTGTCAAGAGAGCAGATCATAATTTGCCATTAAGTAATGATCTATAAAATCAATATTTCTACTAACTATGACCTTTAGACTTTTGGAACAAATTCCCCATTAATGCCTATGAACTACATTTTATACCGACATCAAAATAAATATATCATTAATGACGTGGTGGAAGAAAAACAGAAATACCTAGACCAAGTTAACCTGTTACAAAATGGGGAGGGAGGGGCAGAAATCAGCAGCAACCACTGGTTTAGAAAAAATAATACTTTGAGAGAATTGTATTTTCCCCTATTCTCAACCTCTGGCCTAACCATATCTGGAATATAAAAACTCCAGTAATACAAACTTATGCCAATTACATCTCTATTTAACTGGATGATGTGTATTAGAGTGTATTCAATTATTTTGAATACACTAAACTGTTAGTGCAGTAACAATAGATATGTTCATTTTAAAGGGAAATAATCAGAATATTTTTGTTTGATTTTACTGACAAATCAAATGGTGATTTTGGTATTTCATAAGAATAACTTCAGATACTTGCTAAATTTTGAACTAAAAATTGCATGGGGCAAATAAGGAGTGGTGATATAGAAACTAAACTCTGTATAGCAATAATAGTGTCCAGAAGGTCTGCATTAGAAGGTTCAAATTCCATTTACACATTCATTCAATCATTCCTTCATTTAACCAACCCTTCCTTGTCTACAAGGAAGACAACTATAGTGTCTGCATAGAATGCTGGACCTCAAGGTACCTCAACCTTCAGTTGGCCTGTGATTTAAAATAAGGATATAGATGCTGTGGTGATCTCTAAGAAGCTCAGTGATTTAGAGGGTGAGAGAACTCCCCAGTATAACACTGGTGGGAGTTACTGCATCATGAAAGAAGATCCCTCATAAATAGCTTAGCACCATCCACTTGTTGATGAGTGAATTCTTGCTCTGGTAGTTCACATGAGATCTGGTTGTTTAAAAGAGTGTGGCACCTCCCCACCATATTGCCATGTGACACACTGGCTCCTGCTTTACCTTCTGCCATGATTGTAAGCTCTCTGAGGCCCTCACCAGAAGCCAAACAGATGCCAGTGCCATGCTTCCTGTTCAGCCTGTAAAACCATGAACCTCTTTTATTTTTAAATTACCCAGCCTCACGTATATCTTTATAGCAATGCAAAGGCAAGCTAACACAGAAAATTGGTACTGAGGAATAGGGTGTTGCTATAAAGATATCTGAAAATATGGAAGTGGCTTTGGAAGCAGGTAATGGGCAGGGGTTGGAAGAGTTTGGAGGGCTCAGAAGAAGACAGGAAGTCAAAGGAAGACTTGTTAAGTGGCTGTCACCAAAACACTGACAGAGATATGTACAGTGAAGTCCAGGCTGATGAGGTCTCAGATGGAAATAAGAAAGTTATTAGGAACTGGAGCCAAGGTCATTCTGGTTATGCTGTAGCAACAACAACAACAACAACAACAACAACAAATTGGCTGCATTGTGTCCATTCTTTAGGGAATTATGGAAATTTGAATTTAAGAGTGATAATTTAGGTTATCTGGCAGAAGAAACTTCTAAGCAGTAAAGCATTCAGGATGTGGCCTAGCTGCTTCTAATATCCTATAGACTATTTCAGATGCAGAGAAAATAAATGACTTAAAGCTGGAACTTTTATTTAAAATAAAAGCAGAGCATAAAAGTTTGAAAAATTTGCAGTCTGCCTCTGTGGTAAAGAATCCAAGCAGGCTGTGGAACAACCAGTTGCTAAACAATTAGAATAATTAAAAGGGAGCCAAGTGTTAATATTTAAGACAATGGGAACAAGACCTCAAAGGCATTTCAGAAATCTTTCAGGCAGCCCCTCCCATCACAAGCCCAGAGGCCTAAGAGAAAAGACTGGTTTCACAGGCCAGGAACAGGGCAACACTTCCCTGCTCAGACTCGGGACACTGCTCTTTACATCCCCAGCCCCTCTGGCTCCAGCTGTGGCCCATAGGGCCCCAGAGACAGGTTTGAGATATCTCTTTGGAGATTGCAAGCTTCCATAAACCTTGGTGGCTTTCACATAGTGTCAAGTTTGCTGGCACACAGAATACAAGAATAAAGGAGGCTTGGCAGCTTCCACCTAGATTCCAGAGAATGTCTGGGAAAGCATGGGTGCCCAAGCAGAAGCCTGCTACAGGGGCAGAACCCCACAGAGAAACTCTACTAAGGCAATGTATTAGTCGGTTTTCATGCTGCTATGAAAAAATACCCAAGACTGGGTAATTTATAAAGGAAAGAGGTCTAATTGACTCACAGTTCTGCAGGGCTTGGGAGGCCTCAGGAAACCTAAAATCATGGCAGAAGAGGAAGCAAACACACCTTTCTTGATATGGCAGCAGGAAGGAGAAGTTCAGAGCAAAGTGGGGGAAAAACCCCTTATAAAACCATCAGATCTTGTGAGAACTCACTCACTATTACGAGAACAGCATGGAGGTGACTACCTCCATGATTCAATTACCTTCCACTGGGTCCCTCCCATGACACATGGGGATTATGGGGACTGTAATTCAAGATGAGATTTGGGTGGGGATTCAGACAGACCATACCATTCTACCCCTACCCCCTGCTAAATCTCATGTCCTCACATTACAAAACACCATATGCCTTCCCAACAGTACCCCAAAGTTTTAACTTATTCCAGCATTAACACAATTGTCCAAGTCCAATCATCGCATCTAAGACAAGGCAAGTCCCTTCCACCTATGAGCCTGTAAAGTCAAAAGCAAATCAATTACTTCCTAGATATAATGGGGATACAGGCATTGGGTAAATGTACCTGTTGCAAAGAGGAGAAATTGGCCAAAACAAAGGGGCTACAGGACCTATACAAGTCTGAAATCCAATAGGGCAGTTATTAAACCTTAAAGTTCCAAATGATCTCCTTTGACTTCATGTCTTGCATCCAGGTCAAGCTGATGCAAGATGTGGGCTCCCACAGCCTTGCACAGCTCTGACCCTGTGGCTTTGCAGGGTACAGCCCCTACTCCCAGCTGTTTTCACAGGCTGGCATTGAGTATCTGTGGCTTTTCCAGGTGCACAGTGCAAGCTTTTGGTTGATTTATCATTCTGTGGTCTGGAGGATGGTGGCCCTCTTCTCACAGCTCTACCAGGCAGTGCCCCATTGGGTACTCTGTGTGGGGGTGCCAGCCCTACAATTCCCTTTTGCATTGCCCTAGCAGGGCTTCTCTGTGAGGGCTTTGCCCCTGAAACAAATTTCTGTCTGAACATCCAGGCATTTCTGTACATCCTGTGAAATTTAGGTGGAGGTTCCCAAACCTCAATTCTTGACTTCTGTGCACCTGCAGGTCCAACATCATGTGTAAGCCACCAAGGCTTGGGGCTTGCACCCTCTGAAGCAATGGCCTGAGCTATACCTTGGCCCCTTTTAGCCATGGCTGGAGCTGAAGCAGCTGGGATGCAGGGCACCATGTGCTAAGGCTGCATAGAGACCTGGTGGCCTAGCCCAGGAAACCATTTATCCCTCCTTGGTCTCCAGGACTGTAATGGGAGGGGCTGCCTTGAAGGTCTCTTACACATCCTGGAGACATTTTCCCCATTGTCTTGAGGATTAACATTTGGCTCCATGTTACTTATGTAAATTTCTGCAGCTGGCCTGAATTTTTCCTTAGAAAATTTTTTTTTTTTCACACTGCATCATCAGGCTGCAAATTTCTCAAACTTTTTTTGCTCTGCTTCCTCTTGAATGCTTTGCCGCTTAGAAATTTCTTCTGCCAGATACCCTAAATCATCTCTCTCAAGTTCAAAGTTCTGCAGGTCTCTAGGACAGGGGCAAAATCTCACCAGTCTCTTTGCATAGCAAAACTGACCTTTAATCCAGTACCCATAAAGTTCCTCATCTCCATCTGATACCACCTTAGCCTGAACTTTATTGTCCATATCACTGCCCACATTTTGGTCAAAGCCATTTAACAACTCTCTAGGAAGTTCTAAACTTTCCCATTTTTCCTATCTTCTTCTGAGCCCTCCAAATTGTTGCAATTTCTGCCTGTTACCCAGCTCCAAAGTTGCTTCCATATTTTAAGGTATCCTCGTAGTAATGCCCCAGTCCCAGTACCAATTTACTGTATTAGTCCATTTTTATTCTTCATAGCCGTTCTGCTACAAAGAAATACTTGAGACTGGATAATTTATAAAGGAAATATGTTTAATTGACTCACTGTTCTGCAGGGCTGGGGAGGCCTCAGGAAACTTACAATCATGGTGGAAGGGGAAGAAAACATGTCCTTCTTTACATGGCAGCAGCAAGGAGGAGTTCAGAGCAAAGGGCCGGGGGATGGGCCCCTTATAAAAGCCCTTATAAAAGCATCAGATCTTGTGAGAATTCATTCACTATCATGAGAACAGCAAGGAGGGAACCACCCCATGATTCAGTTACCTCCCACTGGTCCCTCCCACAAAACATGGGGATTGTGGGAATTACAATTCAAGATGAGATTTGGGTGGGGACACAGCCAAACCATATCAGGCAGTATGGAAGCAAAATGTGGGGTTGGTGCCTCTATATAGTCTCCACTGGGACACTGCCTAGTGGAACTGTGAAAACAGGGCCACCATCCTCCAGACCCCAGAATGTTGATCCACTGGCAGCTTGCAGCCTGCACTGAGAAAAGCCACAGGCACTCAGCTCTAACCCATAAGAATAGCTAAAGGGCTGCACCCTGAAAAGTCACCATGGTGGAGCTGCCCAAAGCCTCGAGAACCCACCACTAGATACGGGACATGGAGTCAAGGATTATTTTGGAGGTTTAAAATTTAGTTCCTGCCCTGCTGAGTTTCAGACTTGTTTGGGGCCTATAGCTCCTTTCTCTTGGCTGATTTCTCCTTTTTGGAATGGGAATGTTTACCAAATGTCTTTACCACCATTGTTACCTTGGAAGTTAAATACATTCTTTTAAAAAATATATTATTTTCAGGCTCATAGGTGGAAGGAACTTGACTTATGTCTCAAATAAGACTTTGGACTTTGGACTTGGGGTTGGAATCAGTTAAGACTTTGGGAGGCTATTGAGAAGGGGTAATTGTAGTTTTCAGTGTGAGAAGGACATGAGTTTTGGGGGACCAGGGACAGAATGATATGGTTTGGTTGTGTGTCCCATCCAAATCTCATGTTAAAATCTAGTTCCCAGTGTTGGAGGTGGGGCCTGGTAGGAGTTATTGGATCATGGATGTGAACCCTTCATGAATAACTTAGTGCTTCCCCTTGGTAATGAGCGTGTTCTCACTCTGAAAGTTCACATGGGATCTGTTTTTATAAAAGAGTGTGGCGCCTCCCCTATTCTCTCTCTTGCTTCCCCTTTCACCATGTGATACACCAGCTCCTGCATGTCTTTCTGTCACAGATTGTAAGCTCTCTGAGGCTCTCATCAGAAGGTGAGCAGATGCCCATGCCATGCTTCCTGTATAGCCTCCAGAACTAGCCAATTAAACCTCTTTTCTTCATAAATTACCCAGCCTCCAGTATTTCTTTATAGTAACGCAAAAACAATGAACATAGAAACCAATTATATTAGCTGTTTAAAATGATACTTTTCACAATGAAAAGAATGGGTTAAAGAATAGTGAGAGTAACCTTAGTGAGAATTGATAAGGGTTTGAACCAATCCATGTCAGTGAGATAGGAACTACAACATGAATTTGAGAGCTATTTAGGAGGAAAATACTTGAACTTGATGGCTTAATTAGACATGAAGTGAGGTCAGGATGACTTCCAGGTGTTTAGCTAAGTGGTTATTGGTGCCATTCATAGAGATAGAGGCTTTGGAATCTCATTAAATGAGCATAAATATGCTTCAAGGATGGTGTTATTTATCTTGGAGATGAGGAAATAGAGACTGACAAAAATAATGGCTAATAAGTGGCTTATTTCCTCCAAGATGTTTTACCAATTCCTTACATAGCCAGAATAATTTTCAGATTCATTTATCAATTGTCATGCATTATAGTAATTATATTCATTGTTACTCACAGAGGGCTATCATTTATAAGTTATATGGACCTAGGCTAGTTATGTAAGGTCTGAGAGACAGTCTCTTCACATGTAACACAAAGATAGTAATATTCATCTTTCATAATTCAGTAAGATAAGACATATAGTCTGTTACTACCTGAAACATAGTAATTTCAAATGATAGACATTATTTATGTAACATTTAGTTATTATATATTAATGCTTCTTTTTTTTACCACTTACATTCTCAAATAAAGAAGAGAAGTCATCTTTCTGTTGTCCCCTCCTCAACAATGTACCCTAAAAACTGAGCATTTGAGTGTTAAGTAAAAACTGACATCATATTTAGCAGCTTTAAACAAGATTCAACCATTTCTACAAATGTAGCCTCTTATAGAAAATAAGAATATATGCACTCATGTCCAATTCAGTTCTGTGTTTTGCCCTTTCTATTCAATTTTAATGATTTCATCAGTTATTTTTATATTATCCCATTTGTATTGCTATCTATCAATTTGTATCATCTATCTAATTTTATTGATATTTTCAGATTATATAAGATCCTGTGTACTTAATACATTAATACATATTAATACTAACAAATTATTATTTTTATTCACCATTTTTCAATATGCTGCCATATTGTGATAAAGAGACAGCTTTTTATTTAACCAAGCTTATGTTCATAATAGGCACTTTCATATTACAAAGAAATTTTCATAGTTTTTTCTCAGTTTTGTTTAAAATAGATGAATAACTTTGTTTTTGTTTTTTTGCCAATGGAAATGGAACTAACAGTTCTATGATGTATAATTTGCAAAGAACAGTGCTGTAAAACATGAAATGTAGATTGATCTCATGTCTTGGGAAGAATGCTAATAGAACTAATGAATGTTGCTTCATGAACTAATGAATTAGGGTTACAGAGTTACTCTATACCTAGAGTAAGACAGATTATTTAGGTTACAAAGTTCACAATAAAAAACCAACTGAGTGCCTACTTTCTCTGAATCAGGGCAGACTAGATGTACTGAATGAGAATAAATCTTCCACTAATTCATGAAATTGTGCTTCTTCACCCATAACCAGCAGCAAAAATTGGCATGGTTATTGTTGAGATTCTGCCCTGGGGCATTGATGCAGGAAGTCTGCAGGTTTTCTGAAAGGTTTACAAAGTTTCCACCAAGTTTACTGAACTTCATTGAATCTATGCACCCTGTCTAGCTTTTCCCAGACAGTTCTTGGTTCCTCATCTTCGTGGCCTAAGGATACACCAGCTTCTGCTGCCCACATTAACTTTATAACAATCTATTTCCACAGAAAGTCTAGCCAGAGGGATTAACAAGGAGAGACAATATTTATTCAATTTCTTTCAAGTCTGCTGCCTAATTTCTTGCCAACTGGATGGTTTTGGGTGTTTGGCATGTGGGTTAATGTGAAGGGACAAAGCAGGAATCCCAATCCAGTCATGTATTTATAATTCCTGAGAAAAGGGTTTCCTGACCCTGGTTGCAGAGAACTCCCTAAAGAGTTTTAAAATATTATTGCTGGCAAGACCCCATCAGCCAATTAAGTCAGAATCTCTGAGGGTGTATTCTGGGCACTGAGAATTCTTCAGTTCTCAAGATGATTCTAATTTGCAGCCAAGGTTGAGCATAATGGCTTTAGTTATTTAAGATGATTTTAGAGACCCTGCAAGGCCCCTTAGAGATCATCTGATCCAATATGTGTAACAGATTAAAGTAGCTTTGGTTAACATGGAGAAGGGGGTTTCTGATTTTTGTCCTTGTACGTGAATCAAGGGGAGGACTATTCTGATTATTGAGTGAAAGTGATTTAATTCCACATGTGTTATTACCAAAGTGAGACTATAAATCACAAAATGTAGTGATCTGTCTAAAGTTACACAGCCTGTAAAAGACCAGTCATGCCTCCTGACTTCAGTTCCAGTGTTTCATTTTTACATATTGCTTTGGCCATGTTAAAATTAATCAAGTGGTACTTATCGCTTAAAATAGCTTCTAACATTATAACTATGAGGAATTTGAAAGCATCAAGTTCAAACCGTTTGTAAACCAGCACTATTTTCATTGCATGTTTTTCACACATAACATTTGATATTTCTTTTCTGCCTTTATTACAAGATCTGGGACTCTAGATTTTAACTAACTTGAATGGCATGTTGTAACATCTCATCTAATGGAGATTTCCACCACCTTGTTTTTACAGGCTTAATGTAGAAATTTCTTAAAAGATCATATGTACCCATGAATGTTCTTTTTCCAGCAAGACGGAAGAAGCCAAAGACTCTCTGGTCATTGCAGAAGGAAGAATGAGAGCCCAAGCCTGAGGAAGATAAAATGAGATGATTTGGCTTAATATGAATTAAGGCAGCTGCCAGTGGTTCTGTAATGAGCAAACTGATTATTTTTTTATGTAGCCTCTATTCACATTTTTATGTTTGATTTTGTCCTTTGATTGTAATGACAGGTTGTGGTTACACATTATTAAAGATGAATACTAAAGAAGCGACTAAATAAAAAGGCAAGAAATTGAGGATGATTGGTATAATCCCAGCAGGGAAGCAGATGAGGAAAGGCAGAAGATAAAGTTTTTTTTATGTCTCTGCTACTGTGTGCTCCTCACCTACACATGTTGGAATAAACTTAGAATATTTCCTTTATTCAATGGTATTGTTGTGCTATTTTTCCAATGATCAGAATCTGTGGATGGTGAAGGGAATGTTCAACTCTGCAATCCTTCCAACAAGTAAAGCCAGTAATTTCACTTATTAACATATATATCCTAGGGAAATTTTCCCCATGGCAAGAAGAAACAGTATGAGTATGTTTGCTATAGTTTAAATGTCCTCTCCCAAACTCAAGCTATTGAGAATATTCATTTGGAGATAATACATATTATCTTGGCATGTTGTAGCACTTGTTACTTCATTTCTGAAGTTCTTCTCTCAAACCCTTTATTTCTTTCCAGAAACACAGCCACTGAATCTCTTAGGAGAAGAAGCTAATCAGTTTTTATGACTTGGAAATACTGTATGTATCAGGGCTGATTTTTGGGAAACCTTTAGAAATATTCAGGAATTGGTGATTTGAGCCTAAACTTTAGACATGGATACATTATCTAAGGCTTTTTAACTGATTTGCTCTCAAATTTGGGGCATGTTCTTGTCTTTGGGATGCCTATATTTTGCATATACTAAGGAGAAGCATTTGCCAGTGGACATCAAGAACCACGTATCAGAATGTTTGTATCAGTGGTGTTTGTAATAGCAAGAATGGAGAACAGTTCAACAGTCCTTTGAAAGAATGATTGAACTGCGATAAATGTAAACACTGGCATACTATACAGTAGCGACAATGAATAAACTATAGCTAATCACATTCATCTTGGTAAAAAAGTCCTGTAATGCAACGTGCTGATGAGTTAGCATGACCTCATAGTATCACTAGTGGAAATATAAATTTATGTGACCACGTTGGAAAATAATTTATGATTATCAGGTTTGTTGAAAATACAATAAACATTTGTGGAGTGTTTGCTCTATATTAGTTATTTTCCTAAATGTGCAAATGCAAAATCACTTTATCCTAATAATTGTGAGGTAAATACTACCATTTTCATTATTTATATTTGAGGAAGCTGACAAAGAGAGGTTGGGTAACCGCCAAAATCAAAAAACCTATTCATGGTACAAACAGCATTGAACCCAAGTAGTCTGGCTTCAGAGTTTGTCCCTTTATAAGGGACCATTATATTATGCTGTCCCTTCCAACAAGTAAAGCCAGTAATTTCACTTATTGACATATATCATAGAGGAATTTTCCCCATGGCAAAAAGAAACAGTATGAATATGTTTGCTATAGGTTAAATGTCCTCTCCCAAACTCATGTTGAAATTTAATTATCATTGTGATGGTATTAAGAGGTGGAATCATTAAGAGATGATTAGATCATGGGGACTTTGCCTTCATGAATCGGTTAATGTTATCATTGAAGTGGGTTTATAAAATCATGACAGTGGGTTGCTGTAAAATTGAGTTCAGGGCTGGGCGTGGTGGCTCACGCCTGTAATCCCAGCACTTTGGGAGGCTGAGGCGGGTTGATTGCCTGAGGTCGGGAGTTCGAGACCAGCCTGATCAACATAGAAAAACCTGTCTTTATTAAAAATACAAAATTAGCTGGGTGTGGTGGTGCATGTCTGTAATCTCAGCTACTCGGGAGGCTGAGGCAGAAAATCACTTGAACCTGAGAGTTCTAGTGAGCTGAGATCATGCCATTGCACTCCAGACTGGGCAACAAGAGCGAAACTCCATCTCAAAAAAAAAAAAATCGAGTTCATCCCTCTGTCTCTCACTCTTGCCCTCACTTGCCCTTTTACCTTCTGCCATGGGATAATGAGGTATGATGGCGTTTGCCAGATACCTACACCTTGATATTGAAATTTCCAGACTCCAGGACAGTAAATTTATTTTCTTGCTACCATAACCAGTCTGTAATATTCTATTACAGCAGCTCAAAATGCATTAAAACAATCTTCGTAGCAATTATGCTGTTAGTGAAAAAAATAAAAAAGAAATGACTTAAAAATCCATTATATCATAATGGGTAAATAATCAAGATATAGTCATGTAGAATAATATTATACAACAGTGAAAATGAACTGACTCTACCATGCAAATTCACACCAAAATAATCTTTTAAGTGATAAAACCAAAGGACAGAGGTCATATATCATATATAAATATATATGTCTAAATACATGTAAAACTAATAATATGTACTTAACATGTGAGTTAAGACTATAAAATTTACTCATCACAATACCACAAAAAAGGACAATAGCCATTACAAAAGTTGTACTTCACTTTAATTTTTTAAAATGCAAAATGAAATACACTGAGTGACGTGATTTTTTTCCTTATTGAATTGAGGAAAATGTTGCAAAGTACAACTTTTCGAGAGACAGTTTAAAAGTATATATAAAGTCTTTTTCATAGATTTTTAAAAGACTATTTTTTGTAAAAATTTTGTGCAAGAAAATAATCAGAGATGGGCCAAAAATTCTGTGAAATTACAGTCTTATTTATCACAATAAAAACTTGAAAATAAAGTTTTCCTGTTATAACAAAATATCACAATCTGAGTGGCTGAAAAATACAAATTAATTTTCTCACAGTTCTCTAGGCTAGAAGTCTAAGATGAAGGTGTCAGCAGGCCTGCTTTCTACTCAGGCCTTTCTCCTCATCTTTCAGATGGCTGCTGTCTTGCAGTGTTCTCACATGGTTAGCCCTGTGTGTTGTCTCTGTCCTAATCTCTTCTTATAAGAATATCAGTCATATTGGATTCAAGACGCACCCTAACAATCTCATTTTAACTTAATTATTTCTTTAAAAGTCCTACCCCCAAATACTGTCACATTCTATGGTATTAGGGGTTAGGGCTTCAACCTAAAAATTTTGGGGAGTATACCCTTCAGTTCATAACATTAAGCAAATATTAAATGATCCAAAATAAACTGATATAAAATAATCTAATATAATATAGTTAATAAAAAATAGAAGCTTCTTCAATGACATTAAACAATGCACATAATATGTTGTGAAAGAATAAATTTAGAAAACATAAATACATATTTCAACTTTGTTAAACAAAACCTATATAGGAAAAAAAGATTAATATTAGTCATGTCTAAGTGACAGATTTGACTGCCCATTCAAATGGTAGTATTTTGATCTTTTTTTCTTATGTATATACCAGGTTATCTAGGATGAATATTATTTTTATAATAAGAGTTTTTAATTTACTACATGGAGAAGATAACACATCAAGAACAAGCATTAATATATTAAGAGCAACATGGTGAAGTTTATTCATGCATTAATTCAGCTAGGATTTACTGATTGCTTACTCTATGCCTGGCACTGGGGATGGGTGGGAGGATTAGGAGGAAAAGTTATTATTTCTTTTTATGTAAATGTTTATGTATTTACATATCTGTGACTTAAGTTTGTCAATTTGTGACTAAGAATGCAACTAAAACTTTGTGATTTTAAAATAATGTTTCCAGGGCAAATTCTATCATACACCTAAAATACAGGAGATAGCTATATAGGAGGACACAAAAAAGAGAAAATGAGGCACATGACAATTTTCTTTAAATATCTGAAAGGATAGAAATGCAGAAGAGCGCGTGACTAGAAGGCTAATTTTAAAAAATAAAATTAAGAATAAATGGATAGATATTTCAAGAGTTTGATTACAAATATGGAAAAAAAATTTTAACAAAATAGTATTGTAAAAGTATCAAAGTACCTGGGAGGTGGTGGGCTTAATGTAATGAAAGTATTAAAGCTTAGTTTACATCATCACTGTCTAATAGAACGTTCTGTGATGGTGGAAGTAATTTATTTCTGTGCTGTGCAATATGGACTCTGATAGCCACATGTAGCTTATGAGCACTTGAAATGTGGCTAGTACAACTGAAGAAGTAAAGTTTAATTTTACCTAATTTTTATTAATTTAAATTTAAATTTAAATGATGGTTTTCATATTGTACAATGCAGGTCTAGCAGACCTCTTGGGAAGAGTGGAACAGATTTGAGTGGCCAATGAATAGCACTGCTGGAGTATATGACTTTTTAAAGTCTCTTCTAGCTTAATATTGTATGGTTCTTTAAACTTGAGGTTATGAGATCATATTTCCTCTATAAGGAATAAGGGACAGACATCTAGGAGGAAAAGACTGATGAATATGCTTTGGATTGTCTCAAGTACTTTAAAGACATGTTTGCCAAATTTGGAGGAGTGGTAGAGAACAGATATTCAACAAAATATGAATAATCAGAGGCTATGGAATATTCACATTGTTCTATTTCAGCTAAAGGTAACAGAGAACAAACATGTTTGAAATACAATATCAGTATAACTAGAGTTATAGATCACTTACAAAAATTCTAAATTTATAAATTAGAACAATGAGACCTAGAAAGTTTGAGAAACAGGACTCTTGTCTACTAGGCTCGCATATAAACTTTTAGGCATCTCCTGAATTTAAGAGTAGCATCTAAACAATGCCAAGTTAAAAAATAAGGTATGTTAGTGTGGGCACTGTAACACTGGTCTGCTCAGTCCAGTCTGCATTCCACCTTGCCTTCTGTAAATGATGAACACACCAAGGGTATTAACACAATAGACATGTCCAGGAATGCCAAAGACCTAAAGTTCATTAGATGCGTGTACATATTACAGACAAAGCTTGAAACCCCAATTGAGTTTAAAGAAATTGTACTTAATATGTGACTTGTGAAAGAATGAGCAACATTTGATGGTTTCTATAAAACATTCATAAGGCTGAGTAAACAGTGACCGATATGACAAATATGTTATCTATAATAAGCAAGACTTTGAAGAAAGGACTGCAACTTCAAAATGAGTTTCCTGGTTTACAACAAGCATTAATGTCAGGAAAGTCAATTAAGAGGTGACCTCCAGTAGCAAGCTTTTGTCATTCAGGTTTAGGCAACATTCTTTGTCAGCCTCAATGTAACACTAACTGTTGACCTTTTGCTTTGCATTGAAAGGTCATTAGGATAAGTTAAGCCTCCTAAGCGTTCACTACTTTTGAACCTGTGGCTCACAACATTCCATTAAAGGGGTTATCAAAGGGTGGCTAGAAGAAAAAGGAAAATGTCACTATGAACTTTTTAATCTATAAACTACATTAAGCAGTTCAAATTGTCATCTGTAATTCAGTTGTATAATTAGAAATACTTTCCTTTCAACTTAATCCAAATGCCACATCTCATTGTGATACTAACAGTATGTTGTCTTCACCAATGTATAGCTGTGTTTATTTCTATACTTAAATGTTTAGAAGCAAAATTTCCTGTTTCTCTAAGCTCTAAGTTTCCTTTTTTAGTAACTCTTCCATATCAAAGACATCTCACAGAACCTCTCAAACTGAACTGCTGTGGCAAAAGAAAAAAGTAGTAGGATGTCATAAAGTGGTTTGAAAAAACACTGGCATGTATGTGAGAAAAATTCATTTTAATCCTGGGGTATGTTTTGGAACCATGTACAGGAACCATTGAAGAATAGATATTTTATGTATGTAAAGTTGTTTCTAACTAAGTAGACTTTGTTATAGCAGCCAAAATTGTCTAAGTCACTCTCTGTCAGAGAGGTGAAAGACCTATACAAAGAGAACTATAAAACACTGCTTAAAGAAATAATAGGTGACACAAATGGAAAAACATTCTGTGCTCAAGGATTGAAGAATCAATATTGTTAAAATGACCATACTGCCCAAAACAATCTACAAATTCAACCATATTCCTATCAAGCTATCAATAGCATTTTTCACAGAACTAGAAAACACTATTCTAAATTAATATGGAGCCAAAAAAGAGCCCACATAGCCAAAGCAGTCCTAAGCAAAAAGAACAAAGCCAGAAGCCTCACATGACACAACTTCAAGCTATACTATAAGGCTACAGTAAACAAAACACCTGGTATTGGCACAAAAACAGACACATAGACCAATGAAACAGAATAGAGAACTCAGAAAGGAAGCTGCACACCTACATCCATCTGATCGTTGTCCCAGCTGCTCAGGAGGCTGAGGTGGGAAAATCACTTGAACCTGGGAGGTCGAGGTTGAGGTGAGCCAAGATCATGTCAGTGCACTCCAGCCTGGACACCAGACCAAAAACAAATAACCCCATTAAAAAATCAGCAAAATACATGAACAGATACTTCTCAAAAGAAGCCAACAAACTTGAAAAAATGTTCAACGTCACTAATCATGAGAGAAATGTAAATCAAAACCCAGTGGGATATCACATCAGTAAAAATGACCATTATTTATTTCTAATAAAGAAAGTTAAAACAACAGATGCTGGCACAACTGTGGAGAAAAGGGAACACTTATACACTGTTGGTAGGAATGTTAATTAGTTCAGTCACTGTATAAAGCAGTTTGGAGATTTCTCAAGGAAATTAAAACAGAACTACCATTCAATCCAGTAATCCCATTAATGTGTATATATCCAAATGAAAATAAATTATTCTACCAAAAAGACACATACACTAATATCTTCATTGCAAGACTATTCACAATAGCAAAGACGTGGAATCAACCCAGGTACCTATCAATGATTAATTAAATAGAGATTAGATTACATGAGGAAAATGCAGTACATATACACTATGGAATACTATACAGCCATACAAAAGAATGAAATCATGTTCTTTGCGTGTATGCAGTTGAAGGCCATTATCCTAAGCAAATGAATGCAGGAACAGAAAACCAAACAACACGTTCTTACAAGTGAGAGCTAAACATTGAGTACTTACGGATGAAAAGATGGCAACAGTAGACACTGGGGACGGCTGGAGGAGTGGAGGGGACAGGGGTTGAAAAACTATTGAGTACTATGCTCAATTTTTGAGTGACAAGTTCAATTATATCCCAAACCTCAGCATCACACTAAGTACTCATGTAAAAACCCACACATGTACCCCTGACTCTAAAATGAACGTTGATATTATTGAAAAATAAAAAAATAAGACTGGGATCATGCCTGTAATCTCAGCACTTTGGGAGGCTGAGTGGGTGGATCTCTTGGGCCCATGAATTTAAGACAAGCCTGGACAACATGGTGAAATCCCATTTCTATAAAAAAATTCAAACAAAACAAAAAAGCAACACATGGTGGCATGCGCCCTGCAGTTCCAGCTACTCGGAAGGCTGAGGTGGGAGGATCACTTGATCCCAGGAGGTAAAAGATGCAGTGAGCTGAGATTGCACCACTCCACTCCAGCCTGGGTAGACAGGGAGAGACATTGTCTCACACACAAAAAAATAATAAAAATAAAATAAATAAATAATTTTTTAAAAAGTGTGTTGCTACACACATCTATTACTATAAACAAAATTTTGAACAAGAGGATTATTTAAAATCCTGGATAGGCAATAGCATCAAGAACAGTATTTGATTTTACAGGTATGACATTCTTAAACTCCGTATTCCTAGGTTTACAAGATGCAGCTTCACAAGAATTATCTAAACCAAAGACTGTGGCTTGGCTTTTTTATAGAAACATGTAATTTTCCTGAAAGCTACTATGTTATGAATTATATAGAGTAATAAGTATAGGCCTTTGATAACATGTTATCTTATTTTGGGCTCTAATTTGTACAGTAGTGATTATAGTTCCAAAAAGTGTTCTCTCAGTGTGAAGATACATACCATCTTCAACTGCATTACTGAGAAGGTATCCTTTTAAAATTTATCTTAAAATATTCCTACTGTTTACTAAAATAATGTAGTGAAGTGGTAGGAATATCCTATATAAGTTTGAAGATAAAATGTATTCCTTCTATATTTCTGAAATTTGCTAGATGTTAGGATTATTAGGTGATTATAGAAGTTACAGAGATGGATCACTACAGAAATCTAGTGTTTTCTTCTTTGTCACTAAATGGATGCTGCTGCAGGCAGTTAGCTTGTTTCTTAGCTCACCAAAATGCCGGTGATTTTTATACATATTCTATGGGCTGATTCATAGTTCTGACCCTGCTTTTTGAAAAGATGTAATTTCCAGCAGGTTTTTTGAGAAGGTCATACACATATTGTCTTGATGTCATGTGGAAAGCACTGGCTCATCACAAGAGCCCTGTGGCTTTTAATGAGTTTTGCCATCAGAGAGGTATTTGAATATTGTTCAGTAGCCTTGTGTCTCATCATTATATTTTGCTTCAAACTTGAATTAAAGGAGAGATGCAAGCAAAATCCTGACAAAGCAATCGATATTTACTTTGTGTATAAACCCTTGCAGCAGATCAAACTTGAAAAAGATATCCTGTTTTCTAGTAATATCTAACTGGACCCCTACAGATATCAAGCATAGGTCTCTTTAACTAGGCAATCCCAGCATAAATGGAGTGGTTACCGACACTAAATTGGTCTATTTATCCTGGAATGAGAGAGGAATTGCAGTCAGCAGGAGGGAGGGTAGTTTCTGAGTCATATGCTCTTGCATAGAAGAAGAGATGGGAGGTGTTGTTAAAATTAATTTGCTACTCAGGCATTTTAGAAAATATACTTGCCTAGCTTCCAGGATTTAGAGGTATCCGAAGCTGCTGGCAAGTAGGCCACCTGAGAAAGACGTGTAAAACATGGTAGAAGAAGAATGAACAATATTTCTGTATCCAATTCACTGTGACTTCTCTGTTTTTATTTTTTCTGGTGCCCTTAAAATGATCATGAAATAAAGGGGTGAGAAGATGCTCAATTATTGGAATGCTTGTAGTGAAGACAACCATGGCTCAAGCATCTTCTTAGTCACACAATAATGAATACCTCCCTAATTTGATGTGCTTCAAGTAGCTCAGACTGTTGACAGTAGCAAATCTGGTAAAAGAGGAAATGACCTCTGCAGAGCCTATGGAGGGTATATAACAGACTCTCAGTAGAGGAATTCTCACTTTTACCTCCAGCTAGTTCTGCTGCTGCCACCAAAAAAATTTGAGGTTTTCCTCTTCTTCAGATAAGATTATTATTACTACCACTAAAATGAAAGCAATAACTACTACTACTGCTACTAAGAACAGTAGCTGCCATTTATTGAATAGGATGTGTTAGGATCTGTCCTGAAATCCTTGTATGCTCTATTATTAGTCCCCATTATAACTCAGATATATTGCTCATCTCATATTGCAGGTGAGGAAACTGATTTAGAACGATTAAACACACACAGAAAGTAAATGGTGAACACAGCATCTGTACCTGTCGCTGTAGCCCCCAAATGCAAATTTAGTCATCATTTAGTTAATTAATATGCAAGAGGTGCTTACCAGTGTGAAGAGTTTCATTTTGTAAATCATGTACAGCAAGCCACATGTACAGAGCTCTTTCTCCTGTTCTCTCTGATCTGATCTCGTTTGCTCCTTGACAGGCCATCCCAGTCAGCCCTGCTTGGGGATCACTAGTCATGGATTTATGTGACCATCTCAGTCCCACACTGTTTCTCTTTATTTTGCTCAATTCATTTTAGTCCCAATTTTTCAGTTTTCTTTTTATAGTTAAGAGCTTTGCTTCACTACTTCCTTCAT
Organism: Homo sapiens; assembly: GCF_000001405.40. Taxonomy (NCBI): domain Eukaryota; kingdom Metazoa; phylum Chordata; class Mammalia; order Primates; family Hominidae; genus Homo; species Homo sapiens. Next base: position 110,578,892 of record NC_000003.12, on the reverse strand, counting down.
AACACTAATCACATACCCACTCTTACTTCAATCTCCTTTAGTGTCAATTTATTCTTTAAACATGTATTGAATTCTTACTATATGTTGAGGAACTAATACTAGTATTAATTGATCTATGATCATAGGAAACTTGGAGGTTAATGAAACAGATACAGATAAACAGCTAAATGCAGTTCAAGGTGATGCATAGGATTATAGTGATAGGCAGAAAACAATACATTATAAAACTAGAGTGGAAACATCAGAGGTATCTTCCTAAAGGAAATAGTAACTAAACTGAGTGTTGAACACCAAAAATAAGTTAGTCAAGTGAAGAAACATTTCAAAAAGCAGAAATAGAATGTTTAAAAACAATGTTAAAAGAAAATTTCAATTAATTCCAAATGACTGGAACTTAAGACTGGGAAAGGTAGAGGCTTATGGGACTAGATTGAGGAAGTATTCAGAGAGAAAATCAGGAAGGACCTTGAAGCTCCCCACAAGAAGACTGCATTTTATCCAATGAACAGACCCTGGGCAATTTTACATACTAATTGAGAAAGGGAGTGAGACGGGCTTGAACTAAGGCATACTGTAGTTCTGTTTACTGCAGAAAGGAAGTTCAAGAACAGCATCACAACTTGTCTGGGCATTATTTCCTCACAGCTAATTTAGGCTTCTCTGCACCCCAAACTGGCCAAGAAAGTTAAAATGCTACATTTCTCTAATAATTAGACTTCTTCATACTGAAAATTTCCTTTGAAAAAAATAAGGATATTTTAATATGAAGCAGAAGTTTAGCAGTTACTTTTTGCGTGCCTGTGTGCATGTGTGCATGCTAATTTCTGTGAGACTTGGTCATAATCTTAATCATTCTTGAAAGCAGAGAGTGATGAGTCTGACCTCAGGGAAAAGCTAGGCTGTCTTTCCTGGCATCTTGATATTATAATAGATTTTAAGATTCTGTCAAGTATACTGAAGGGAGAATCCATGAACACTGTACATTTATTAAAGACCTACTATGTGTCCGCAATTTTCTCTATGCTATGAAATGTAAAAACAAAATTTAGTGTCTCTGTCTTCAAGTTGCTAAAATATAATTGGAGAGAGTAAAAAAAAAAATCCCCAATATTATTAGATAAGATTTTGTGGCAATACAATCTTTTAAAAACTTGGTAATGCAGGCTATGAAAGCAATGGGAGTTCAGGGAAGAAAGATGTCCAAGCAGGATATGCTTGACCAGTGGGTGCGATAGAAGGGGCCTTCCTTTAGCTGGAGGTCCTGGCTGAGTAGCAAGTACGGTTAGTTTACAAAAAGGGAGTAAGATTGCATACTGTGAGTGGAAGGGGCCAGGGTTGAGGTACAGAGTATTAAAAATCTTTAATGCTAAGCAAGAAATGTAGGTCTTATTAGGTAAGTTGTGAACAGAATATAATAATGAAGTCTTTTTATTTTTTTTTAACTACTTTTGCAGTGGTGTATGAATTTGCAGCCACATGCCTACCTGGATTTGTGACTTTTGTGAAAACTCACTTCCTACCCTGGCTTCCCCTATGAAAGCAGGGCCTGTGACACAGGCTTACATGGAGATAGTTTATTTTGAGAAATCATCCCGAGTCAGGAGAGAGTGACGCTGGGATGAGGGAAACGAGGATGGAGGACAAGGCCATGCAAGGTTCAATAAATACTAAGCTGTCCTTGCAAGGGCATCTGGGGCTGATTAGGCTGGGGCTTTCTGTGGAGTCATCTCACAAAACCTACCCAAGGAACAAAAGATTGGCACATTTATTCACAATTGCTCCATGGGGTATTAACTTCCTCATTGTTTGCATTGCATTTGCATGACTGCTTGATGCTGAGTCAGAGATGCCCAAGAACAGAAGATGAGAAATTCTAGGTTGAGCTGAGAGTAGGTGCTGTATTTGTACATTATCAAAGGTTGTGCATAGAAAGGTCTGGAGTTTAAGATGAATTGAAAAGTCCTGACCAGAGGCAAGAACTATCAGATATACTCATCATTTCATTTTTAAGTAAAAATTTTAAATGATTACAAAATGTATACAAATTTATTATTACCAAAAGTATTATGTTAACAATTAACCAACAAAATATTGCCTAGAAATCATTTGGACACATCTTTAATGAATAACTTAAACTGAGTTATTATTAATATTCTCTTTCTAAAAGCCTAATATGGTGCCTGACATGAAGTGGGTGTTTAATAATGACATATGGAAAAATTGAGTGCATTATATCATGTAAACAAGTGCTTTCAAAATGGATTGAAAGGTATATTCTTCAGTACAACTGGGGTAGCAATGATGTCAGGGAGTGAACCAGAGGGCTTATTAAGGAACTAATTTATTTTATAAATATTTACAGATGGCACCAGGGAAAACAATAGCTTACCTTGAAACCAAATTATTTCAAAACCCATTTCAAATTGTAATTGATTAGTTTTTGAAATCATGTGTTTTTTTAAAAAAAAATTAAACCCCTTATCAGAGAGCTTTACAGTTTGTAGTAACCAATAATGACATAATGTGCAAACGTAAATGCAAAAAAATTAAAAAGCCACAGAAGAGTGTTACAAATAATTAATAAAAGGATGACTTTGTAGTTTTAAAGTAGGCTAATAATGCTTACATGTCACATATATAGCGTATAGTATCATTTGTAAATATTCTGGTAAAGTGAGCTATTTCAAGACATGGAATCATATCTTTTCCATCCTCTTTTAAATGCTTTTTGTTCAATGAATACATCACTAAACAAAAATTTACAAAACATCTATGTGTCCACTCAGGAGTTTGAAGTAAGTGCCTGCTTCCATCTGTCTACTTCCATCTCTCTACTTGTTTCTTTCCTTGCTTGAATGATAGTATTAACATACTAAGAAGTTCTTGGACATCAAATTTTAGTATTAAAACATACGTTTTTGAAGCAAAATGTCCTCATCGTGCTCTGGAGAATTCCCTTCCGGTTTTAGCATGGTACCCACAGATTCACCTCCTGGTGGTGATGCTTGTCAGCTACAAAGGCAGGTGTGGTTTGGGCAGGGAGTAGGCTCTGAGCCCTTCTTCCTGGACTTTAATGAATTATGAAGATCCAGTTGCCTTAGATTTTCTTTCAGCCACATAGCCTTAAATCTGGGCAGTCACTTCAGAGATGTTTTTGTTGGTTTTAATTCTGTAGTATCTTGTGGACTTGCAAGCTCCCAAGATTTCCAGTGCCCATAAATATAAGCCATAGAAAATTTTTCATCCATGGAGCTTAATTTTAATTTCAAGTCATCTTAATTCTCACAACAATAAGTGGTTTAATTTTAATGAAGTGATTCATGACAGACAAGACATCACCACAAGAAACCAGCTGAAAAGTGATTCGTTTTTCCCTCAGACTGTGTTTTTGTCAGGATTCTGGAGAAATTAGGAAAATGGAATCAGAGCTGGCCAATCGTTGCTTATGTAGCATTGTAAAACTCTTAGGCATCTTGTCTAACATATTTATCTTAAACTTTGTATCCCAATGCTTAATGAAAGTACATCTTTTCCAGAACACTCTTATATTTTGATATCAGAAATCTCATGTTTAAGAAACTTGCTGCTTGGAATATTAAAATTCAGTACCCGATTGTGAAGTGTGATAGAGCAAATCATCTTTAAGTATAAATCTTTGTCTGCCTTTATATAAAATAAGGTCACAAAAATTGAATGGTGAAAAGTCAAATTATATATACTAAAGGGGACAATTATAAAATGTTAAAAATTCATAAGGTTACCTTCTTCTTTAGTAAAATTTTCTCCGTCTAAGGAGAGGGCATCACCACTTACCTATTTGCTCAAGTGATTTGTATTGGTATCATCCTTTTTTTCATTCTTTTCCTTTACCACTAGTCCAGCAAATCTTGTAGATCTGTTTCCAAAATATAGCTCTTCACTTGTTTATTTGCAGAGCTACCATCCTATTCCAAACATCTCTCATGTACACTGTGATAATATTCTCCTCCTACTCTTTCTTCCTGTGTCCATTTTGTCCCCCTTTATATACACAATTTACCCAGCTGCCAGAATAATCTTAAAACATAAACGAGAAAACTTCACTCTACATTTATATTATAGTCTAAATAAAATCCAAATGCTTTCACAAATCAAGTACTCCTTTTTTTCAGAGACCTGGGAACTTGAAACAAATTGTCCATCCTGAACTTTCTCTCCTCTTTTGATCATGGCTTATCTCTCTCTATTCTTTTCCTTTTCCTATCTTTCCTTTATAAATATTTCTGATGTTTTTATATCAATTAGATGCTGTGCTAAGTAGTGCAGTCACTACAATGGGTGTAGGGGCCAAAGGGGACACAAAACTTTTTTTTTTTTTTTTTCCTCTCTGAGGTTTATTGAAAAACCAGCTCACAAAAGGAGATTAACTGAAAAAAAAAGGCATAAATATGTGAGACTGTGTACATGGAGGAGAGCCACAGAATAATTCCCTCAACCTTCCCATGGGGTTCAGAAGCTTATTTATCATCTTGAGGTTATAGAAAGAATAGAGGCTTGGACTGTAGCCAAATAGGTTCTGCTGGTAAACAGGTTATGGGAGTTGGAGAAAGATGAGGCCTGGCAAGCAAAGACAGCCTTGTCCTGTAGATGAAACCTCACAGGTAGCAGCCCTCAGAGAGAATAGATGGTAAATATTTCTTTTTTTTTATTTAAAAAAATTTTTTTTAAATTATACTTTTTTTTTTTTTTTTGAGACGGAGTCTCGCTCTGTCGCCCAGGCTGGAGTGCAGTGGCGGGATCTCGGCTCACTGCAAGCTCCGCCTCCCGGGTTCACGCCATTCTCCTGCCTCAGCCTCCCAAGTAGCTGGGACTACAGGCGCCCGCCACTACGCCCGGCTAATTTTTTGTATTTTTAGTAGAGACGGGGTTTCACCGTTTTAGCCGGGATGGTCTCGATCTCCTGACCTCGTGATCCGCCCGCCTCGGCCTCCCAAAGTGCTGGTATTACAGGCGTGAGCCACCGCGCCCGGCCTAAATTATACTTTAAGTTCTGGGCTACATGTGCAGAACTTGCAGTTTTGTTACACAGGCATACATGTGCCATGGTAGTTGCTGCACCCATCAACCCGTCGCCTACATTAGGTATTTCTCCTAATGTTATCCCTCCCCTAGTCCCCCAGCCCCCAACAGGCCCTAGTGTGTGATGTTCCCCTCCCTGTGTCCATGTATTCTTTTTGTTCAAGAATACATGGAACATAAGAATATTGTTCTTATGAGTGAGAACATGCAGTGTTTGGTTTTCTGTTCCTATGTTAGTTTGCTGCGAATGATGGTTTCCAGTGTCATCCATGTCCCTGCAAAGGACATGAACTCATCCTTTTCTATGGCTGCATACTATTCCATGGTATATATGTGCCACATTTTCTTAATCCAGTCTATCATTGATGGACGTTTGGGTTGGCTCCAAGTCTTTGCTGTTGTGAATATTTCTTTCAGACTTTTAAAGGTGTCAGACTCTCTGTTAATTTTCCCTAAATTCAGCCAACGGAAGGTCTCAGAGAAATCCTGGCTGCCTCAGATGCCGATTTGTGCTACAGATGCAAATCTCACCCACAAAAGACAGCTTTCCAGGTTATTTCTCTTTGCAGGCCCTCTGAACCGCAATCTCAAAATATGCCAAAGAAGTGTATTTTGGTGTGAAATATTTTGATTTTCTGTATTGGAATTTTTTTTACCTCCGAGAGCACAATAAACATTTTATCCATCATTGAAGCCTTATCTTGTACATCAACTGTGAATGAAAACTCTCTTGACCCTCTGAGCAAGGTGTAATCTCTCATATTCTTTTAAAAATACTGCCTACATATAATAAAATTCATACATTTTACGGCTATGCTTATATTTTTTCTTAATTAATTACTTTGGACCTTTGTCAAAAATCAGTTTACTATGTATGTGTGGTTTATTCCTGGTCTCTCCGATCTGTCACATTGATCAATTAATCCACCCTTATACCAAGACCATGTTGCTTGATTATTTTTAGAATAAGTTTTTAAATTAGTTGATGTAAGTGCTCAACATTTACTCTTATTTTCTCAAATTATTTTGAATAATCTTGGTCTTTTGCATTTTCATATGAAGTTTAAAATAAGCTTACAAGTTTCTTCACAAAGTCCAGTAGTGTTCTGATTGTGATTGCATTGTACCTACAATTTAATTTGAAGAAGATTTTCATGTTACCATTACAGAATCTTCCATTCATAAATATAGTATATATCTTTGTATATTAAGGTCTTCCTTAACTTCATTTTTTTTTTAATTTTATACTTTCAACTTATGTTCTTGCACATTTTGGTCAAATTTAGCCCTAATTATATTTTCAGTTGCTATTGTAATAAATAATGTTGCTTTTTAAAAATTTTGTTTTCTAATCATTTTTACTGCTATATAAAAATATAACTAATTTTGTATATTGATCTTGCATCCCAAAAGAGTGTAACATTCACTTATTTATATTAGTAAAGTTTTTATGCATTTCTTAGCTTATTTCTACATATACAATCATGTCGTGTGCATATAAGAAAAGTTTTATAATTCCTTTATAATCTCTCCATATGGTTTCTATTTCTTTTACTTGCTTTAATGTGTTAGTTGAACATTCAGTAAAATTTTAAATAGAAGTGGTGAGAATTGACCTTCTTTGTTTTAACCTTGAGTAGGAATCACTCATCTTTTCAGCTTTGAAGATAATCTTAGTTGTTGATTTTTCAGATTTTCTTAATCAGGTTGAGAAAGTTTTCTTCTATTCTCAGTTTTCTGAGAATTGTTATCAATGAAAAGGTTTAAATATTTTTCAAATAATTTTCTTGCATGCATTGAAGGGGTCATATGGTTTTATCCTTTATTTTATTAAAATGCTGAATTAAGTTGATTGATTTTTCACATATAAACCAACCTTAAATTCCAAGGATAAACTTCCACATAGTCATAATGTATTATTCTTTTTACATTTCATTGGATTTTATTTGCTAATATATTATAGCTTTTGTGTCTATGTTCATGAGGACTATTAGTCTGTCATTCTCGTTTCCTGTTATATCTCAACAAAATAAGTTGAGAATTGTTCAGACCTCTATTTTCTGAAGCTGTAGAATTGGAATTGTTTCTTTCTTAAATGTTTGAAAAAAGAATAATCAATGGAGCCTTATAAGCTGGAAGAAATATTTTAAAATAATGTGGAGGAGGAAGTGGATTAATTATGAATTCAATTTCTTTAATTTGTGTGCATCAATATACATTTTCTAGTTTTTCCTACATTAGCTTTGGTAGTTTATTTCTTTCAAGAAATGTGTTAATCTCATATAGATTGTCAAATGTATTGCCATAAAGTTGTTCATAATATTTCATTACTATCTTTTTGAACTCTTAAGGCTCTGTAATGATGTTACTTCTTTCATTTGTTATTAATAATTTGTGCCTTAACTCTGCTTCTCTCTTTTGTTCCTTCCTTTCATCCTTCCTTCTTTCCTTTTTTCTTTTGTTCCTCATTCTCTCTGGCTAAGCATTTATTCATTATATTGACTGTTTTTCAAAAACAAGTTTTAATCTCATTGATTTTTATTATTTTTTTGTATTTCATTGATTATTGCTCTAATTTTTTGCCTGCTTTGGACTTAATTTGCTTTTTTTTTTTTTTAGAGTAGAAAATTAGATCATAGATTTCAGACATCCTTATATTCTAATAGAAACTTTTAGTGCTATACATTTTCCTTTAAGCATTGCTCTGGTAGAACCCCACAAATTTTGATACTTTATATTTTTATTATCACCAATTTTATAATTTCTTCTTAGCCAAATATTTATTGAGAAATATATTGTGTAATTTCCAAATACCAGGGATTTTCCTGGCAATATTGTTAGGAAATTTTAATTTAATTCCATTGGGATTAGAGAACATATTGTATGACTTCAAACTTTTTACATTTATTAAGGCATTTTTAATTCCTCAAAATATAATTTACCCTGAAAAATGAACAATATACATTTTAAAAATATGCATTCTTCTATTTTGAGGTGTAGCCTTTTATAAATATCAATCAACGAAAGATATTTGATAGTGCTGTTCAGATCCATGTCTGCTAATTTTTGTCTAGCTATTTAATAAATTACTTAGAGAAATGAGTTTTTTTCACATAAAATTATAGAAGTGTATAATTTTTCCTGAAATTTTGTTAATTTTTGCATCATGTATTTTAAACTTCTGTTATTATCTGCACATCAGCTATTATTGTTCTCTGATGAACTGACACACAGTTATGATTTTTTTTGTTTTAATATCTATTTTCTCTCATAGTTATGTAGTCATTCTAGCCTCTATGCTCAGTGTTCACATTTATTCATTTATTTCTAACTAATCTTTATATTTTAAAGCACATCTCTTGTAAGTGGTCTGTAAATGTTTGGCTTAAAATTTTTTTTGGCAAACTTTTTTTATTGGAATATTTAATTAATTAACTTTTAATGTAACAATTGACATGTTTGCATTTGAGACTACTATTTTGCTTTTTATTTTTTGGTTATCTTTTTTGTTTTCTGTTCCTCTGTTCTTCCTTTTCTGCTTTTAAAAAATAATTTGGGCTGAGCGCAGTGGCTCACGCCTGTAATCCCAGCACTTTGGGAGGCCGAGGGGGGTGGATCATGAGGTCAAGAGTTTGAGACCAGCCTGACCAACACAGTGAAACCCCGTCTCTACTAAAAATACAAAAATTAGCTGGGCGGTAGTGGCGTGCGCCTGTAATCTCAGCTACTTGAGAGGCTGGGGCAGGAGAATTGCTTGAACACGGGAGGCGGAGGTTGCAGCGAGCCGAGATCGCACCACTGCATTCCAGCCTGGGCGACAGGGTGAGACTCCATCTCAAAAAAAAAAAATAAAATAAATAAATAAAAAATAATTTGGATGATTCTTTGAATTTTATTTAAAATTTTTAATAAACATTTTTGTGGCACTTTTGCATTTTTAAGTGGTTGTTTTTTATAAAGCATACATCGTTAACTTTTCACAGTCCACTTATAATTAACACCATACTACTTAGAATCAATTATAGAAATCTTGAAAGCATGTAGATCCATTTTAGCTTCCTTTTGGTTATAACAGGTAGTTGTTATGTATAATATATAAGTACATCTTCAAGTACTGCAAGAAAATGTTTTAAGTTTGTTTTAAACATCGACATGGTATATAAAGAACCAAAGGAAAAAAAAGTAAAATAAAAAACAACTTGCAATTTTGCAGGTATTTACTATTTTCTGTGTTCTTTAATGTTTTCTTGGAATCTGAGTTTCTATCTGGTATCACTTCTCTTCAGTTTGCACAATTTACTTTAGTATGTCTTATAGTGCAGATTTGCTGGTGTTGAGTTTCTGAAAATATCTTTATTTTGCCCTCATTCTTAAGTAATATTTTTATTAGTTATCGAATTCTGGGTTAGCAGGTTTTCCTCCCTTTTTTTATTTTCTTTTTCTTTTCGAAACATTCATCACAAAGGTGTTGTTTCAGTCTTTTGTGGGAACCTCTATTTATGGTGAGAAGTCAGCTAGTAATGGGTTTGTTGTCACCCTGTACATAATATGTCATTTTCTATTTGCTGCTTTCAAGTTTTGTTCTTTATATTTGTCCTTCAACAGTTTCACTATGATGTACCTCAGCACAGACTTTTTTGTTTGGTTGGTTTTTTCTATTTAGGGTACCTTTAGCACCTTATATCTCCAAATTCCTGTCTTTCAACACTTTTAGAAAAATTTTCACTATTATTTCTTTAAATATTAGTTTTCTGATTTGTTTCCTTTCTATTATTTTGGTATTAAAATTACATGTATGTTTGACAATTTTGTATAATCTAACAAGTCCTTATGGCTTTATTATTTTCTCTATATTCTTCACCTTCGATGATTTTCATCACCTGTCTGAAAGTCCCCTTAATCTTTCTTTTTTCTTTGCTTATATTTTTATTTATAAAGACATCATGTTTTATTTTATTTCACTGAGAATAGATATAACAGGTAGCTTCAAATTCATGCCAGTTAGTTTCAATATTTTCTTTTCTTTTGAGAAAATGTTCCATCTTCTTAGTTCTTATTTTACATAATCTTGGATTGCATATTAGACACTCTGAATGTGAAGTCATGGAGGATCTGTATTGTGTTATTTTCTCCAATGAGTGTTTCCTTTGTTGTATAAAGTAACTTTTTTTCAGATGGGATTGAGTTGCAAACTGCTTCTTGGACAGCTCTCTGGTCTCAATTTAGGCCTATGGTCTTTAAGTGAATCGTTTTTAGTCTGTTCTGTAAATGCATGATTCAGGAATTAGTCAGAGATGTGAGAAAACTTTAGGGATTCCCTCTATGACTCTTTCCCTTTGGCTATTCCCCGACTCTCTGCAGCATTTGTGGTTTCTCTGCTTCAGTATTCTGGTTCCCCAGGCCAGAAAGACTGTGGGCTTTTGGTACACATGTCTTTATTACTACTGTATGAGAGGTGTGGACTGAAATTAGTTCAAGGTTAAAAGCTGTGGGGACTGTTACTTCCCTGTCCAGCTTCTGTCTTTCTTCCTCAGGTTAGTCTGTGCAGAATCTGTTTCTGCTCAATCTCCAGCACCTTCAGGGAGTTGCTGTTTGCAATATGTCCAGATTTTATAGTAGTTTTCTTCAGCATGTTTATTGAGTAAGGTCTAAGATTTTTGTACCTACAAGAGGAAGAGGCTCCCTCTTGATGAATTGCTATAGTTTTTGAATCTGCTTTGAAGTATTCCTTGAATATATAATATTTAATGGCCTGCTAAATATTAAGTATTTTTGAGGCAAGGCAATGTCATGTTCATCTTCGTGGCTGTAGCACACAGTGAGTATTCAATATGCTTCTGTAGGATTTAGCTGAAATTAAACCACACTGACATAAAAGTATGCAATAGAGAAAGGATCTACCCACTAGAGGGGAGACGAACAGAGAGCTTCAAAGATGCTAATTGAGGCATAAAACTTATGCTATACTCATTTAATAGCATAAAGCTATATACAAGTCTCATTGTAGCAGGACAAGCCGCAGACAAAACTCCTCAGACACCGAGTTAAAGAAGGAAGGGGTTTATTCGGCCGGGGGCATCGGCAAGACTCCTGTCTCAAGAGCTGAGCTCCCTGAGTGAGCAATTCCTGTCCCTTTTTAGAGCTCACAACTCTAAGAGGGTGTGCGTGAGAGGGTCTTGATCGATTGAGCAAGCAGGGGGTACATGACTGGGGGCTGCATGCACCGGTAATTAGATCGGAACAAAACAGGATAGGGATTTTCACAGTGCTTTTCTATACAATGTCTGTAATCTATAGATAACATAACCGATTAGGTCAGGGGTCGATCTTTAACTACCAGGCCCAGGGTGTGGCGCCGGGCTGTCTGCTTGTGGATTTCATTTCTGCCTTTTAGTTTTTACTTTTTCTTTCTTTGGAGGCAGAAATTGGGCATAAGACAATATGAGGGGTGGTCTCCTCCCTTATCATAAGTACAAAACCCTCTCAGATGACCAACTTGTACATTTTAAATCCCTTAGTGGCTGCCCTTTTTGTTTAACATGAGCTCATCTTGTTTAAACTATACTAGTAGAGAATGAAGCTAGTGTATCATTTTTTCAGGAATTCCAGAGCCTTTACACATGAGAGCAGCTCGGAGAGGATAAACATAGCAGAGAAAAGGTAAAGAAGGAAAGACAGTACATCCAAGAACACCACCAACTTTGACTGAAAAATGCCCTCTTACTTCATTAACGTATTCCATCTTAATCACTGTGGATGCAGTAGTTTTCTATATCAAGACAATCAATTCATTGCAGCAGAGTTTAAATATTCTGCACTCTGGGTTATAGGACTTCATTTTAAATAAAAATGTTATGTATGCTGAGGCAATTGAAAACATTTTATTGCTCTTAGTATTGTGATATCCAGACATATATTCTGGCTTTCCATTTTCTCTTCACTGATTAACTTTGTAGAAAAGTCATAGGCCTTGAATGTTTTATAAATTAAATTGTTGATCTATCAATAAAATTTTAATATTTATTTTGTGATCAATGTAATGTTTCTTCATTTTTAAGATGTTAGAAGGTTTTTCCAAAGTCAATCTGAGTTTAACTTTCAGTTTGAAATAAATTAAGTTGAAGTTTTAGTACCAGATTTTAAAAAAGAAAGAAAGAAAGAAAGGAAAAAAAAACTGTAAAGTGCTCTTTTGCCTACAACAATAGTAATCAAAAGGCTAAAATTATCCAGGTATTGAATCCCGATATGTGAGAATAAAAGTGCTTTTTGAGTACAGAAAAACTAAGTATGAAAATATTCCTTAAACTTTGGAGAAGATTAAGGAGTAAAGAGCACAAAGTTTGCTCTTAATCTGATGCCCAGAAATAATGGACCATTCTTTCTAAGTAGAAAGTTTTATAGACTATTTTATAAAATTGCCACATAGGCTAACTCTCAACTATCTTCATTTATAATACTAACTTGTGCCCAACACAGCTATTTCCTCTTCTCATACTACCTATATAACTAAGTAAACATATGGTGCTGTCTATTTGAGTTTCATTATGGAAAAAATGCATGCAAGAAGACAACAGTATTTGTATTTTCTATATCTGAGTATTCTGATTAATATAAAGTCTTAATGAGTTATTTCACTTGTTGAAAGATTATAACAAAAAGATGTAAATACACCATTTACCTAACAAATAAGAATAATTATCTGGTAATTGGAGAAGGGTATTTCTGTCTTGTTTAGAATTTTCAGAATAATACTTTTGATTATCTTGAATACAGACAAACAGCAATGATATATTTTAATATTTTATTGGAGATTATTTCTTGTGAACACTAACTACTACTGGAATTTAATTATTCAGTTTTAAATTAAAATATGGCTTTCCAATTTAAGTTACATAATGACCTTTCCTATGATCTTTAAGAAAAAAAGTCACCATTAAACTTACACTTTAGAAGAAGGTTCACCATAACTATATCAAATCAAAGAGGATTAAACTATTAAAGAAGGAAAATATGAGTATATTTTTCCAAATAGTGATCAACCTTTTCACTTCTCAATAAATAAATAAGTAAATAAATATTTTCTTGTTTATCAATATATTTGATCTTAAGAAAATCATTTAAAATGCATCTTAAATTTGTTATACACTGGTTTCATGATATTGTAGTGAAATCTTAAGGATATCAATTTTATTTGATAATATAATGTACTTTATTTAAAATTCTGAAATTAGATTCTATAGTAGCATTTAGTTCTGCTATACAAAGAGATGAGATCAATTAATCAGAAAAAATATATTTATTGATCTTCCTCCGTGTTCAAATTAACACTTGGCTGGATTGTCTAAGGATTGTTAAATAATGAAAAAATAAATTTTATTTTGCTCTTATGTAGGCTAAAATAATACAAAGCTTGAGCTAAACAATTTTACTCACATGTATTGCAGCAACATGTGAATATATTACATTTAAGAGATTTCAACTTAGACGTTCTGAATATTCACTTCAATTATGAATGGAATAGGTAGTTTTATATAGATAAAAACAATGAACTTATTTTAAGTAGCGAATTTATAAATTCACAAATGAACATCAAGGTGACTTACTTTTGAATATTGTGTGGAAGAATATGAAAGGCCTTTATTCTGGCTGAAAGAGCAAAAAAAGTAAAAGGATTAACCAAAAAATCATACAGTTAAAAATTTCACTGAAGACTTATGTACACAAATAAATCTAAAACATCTAAACTCCACAGGGACAAACTTTTCCAGTTGAACAAGTAACAGAAGATGCTTTAATATTTGAACCCACCTGTTGGTGTTGGGGAAAGGGGAGCTACAGCTTACAGATCAGGACTTTGTCCAGAGAAGGAGAAACCAGCCAAACTTTTGATGAACTGTTGTGCTGGAATGTTGAATTTGAGTCTATAACATTGCCCAGCACCAAAAGAATTCTCTTCCTGAAGTAACTGTTTCATATGAGAATTTTGCTGAGTAAGTAGAAGTTGAAAGCAGCACTAGAAATTGGAAAGAGATCTCATGATCTCTGAATCTCACAATTTCCAAATCTCATGGCCCTGCAGTCCTAAGGTTTTCAGCCCCATGTTCTCATGGTATCAATGTCTGCCATTTTCAAACTCTCCACAATTTGGAGGTCTGGAAGTCTAATGGTGTTTGGTTCCAAGGTCCTATCTTAGGAAGAGACTTGAACTCACCTTCAAAACGTTTGAATCCAGAGGCAAAATAATGAAAGCTACAACGCATTTTAACCTCTGGTGAGATCAAATATATCAGCACCTTGTGACTATGTAGAAAGTTGGAAGCTAGGTGGAAAAGCAAAGAGATATTTCTTTAATCTCCTGGTACTTAAATTCTTCTGCCCTGCTAGAAAGACTAAAGTTTCAGCCTCTCTCTGAACTTATTCAAAATCTTATTGAAATAAACTAATCACAATTTTACTGTAGCTTCCTCACAAAGTAAAGACCTCTCATTAGTTATTTATTGCTGTACAACAAATTGCCACAAAAACATACTTATAATTGCACAGATTCTGTGGCTTAGCTTCTCCATTTGCTTTACAATTTCCCACAGTTTATAACGAAGGCCGAAGATCTTGCTATCTTATCTAAAGGGTCATCTGGGAAGGATCTTTTCCAAGCTTATTCAATGATTGTTGACAACTTCGATTTTTTTTAATGTTGTTTACCTGAGGGACACAGTTCCTTATTGCCTGTTGGCCAGAGGCCACTCTTAGTTCCTTGTCACATGGGCCTTTCTCAAATGGTGGCTTGCTTCATCAAAGTGTGCAAGACAAGAAGGTAATAGGGACAGTCAGCTATCAAGATGGAAGTCACACTCTTTTGTCAACTAATCATGGAAGTGCTATCTCATCACCTTCACATATTCTGTTGGTTAGAAGCAAGCCACTAAGTCTAGCTCACACTCAAGGGGAGGCCATTACAGAAGGTCAGCGATGCCAAAAATTAGAGTTAATTAGGGGCCATCTCAGAAGTCTGCTTATCATAGCCCTCTGTTGTTCTTTCAAACACACTTCTCAGAATTCAATAAAAAATACAAAAACTGCAAAAATTAGAAAAATGTCAATGGAAGAAGGGACAGATAATCAAGATGTTGAAAATATCAGTGAAGAGATTTAAACTAACTGTGATCAATATGTTAATGAAACCACAGGAAAATAATCAAGTAAAGTTAGGGGAAATTCCAGGAAGGATTCAGAAAAAAAAATCAAATATAATCAACAATATTAATATCTGATTGGACACAACCAATAAAAAAAATCAATAAATTTAAGGATAAGAAGATAGTGTAATTATTTAATTATTTCTAAATATGCTTAGATACAGACATGCTAAAAACTAAATATAAAACTCAAAAAAGCATGAGCATGACCTCTGCCAAATGGGAGTAGGGATTTACATAAATGTAAAATGATTCCCAGTGTGTCAGTAATCATATCAATTGAAACAACAAGTGCTTCTTTGTGGACCTTCTTTTTGTTAATCTCTTCCAATGGGGGAGCAAGTGAATATGGATCTAAATCTTTGCTATTTATGGTTGTAGAAATCTGGAGTATCAAAAGCACAAATGTTAACCTCCTGTATTATTTGAATGGGAATCTCTCCAGGCATTATCTCCTATTCTTCTTGCCTACTCTCCTGTGCTCTGGTCTAGTATTCCTATCTTTTACAATGTATTAAAATTGGATTTTTGGAGGCAAAGCATGATGACTGAATAGAAGCCTCCTCCATCATCTCCTCTCCTAAGATCACCAAATTGAACACAGAAACAGTACCTTAAAAGAACCAAAAATTAGATTTTAAACAGATATTTAAAAAGAGACACTGCAAAGAGTAGGAAAAATGGTCTTGAATTGCTGATACCACTCCACCCCCATTCCCTGGCACTGGCTGCCTGGCATGGAAAAGCTGTACACTTGGGGGAAGGAGAATGCAGTGATTGTGGGACTTTGCTTTGGAATTCAGTACTGCCCTGTCACAGCAGAAAACAACACCAAGCATGACTCAGCCAGTGCCCACAGAAGGAGCACTTAGACCAGCCCTAGTCAGAGGGGAATCGTCTATCCCACTAGTTGGAAATTGAGTTTTGGTAAGCCTTGCTACCATGGGCTAAAGGGCTCTGAGGTCCTAAATAAACATGAAAGGCAGTCAAGGCCATAATAATTGTAATTCCTGGAGAGGTCTTTGTGCTGTTCTGGGCCCAGAGTCAGTAGACTTGTGGGGCATGCAACTTATTGAGACACCTCCTGGAGTAGCCAAGAGAGCATTTGCACCATCCTTCCCCCAGCTCCAAGCAGTTGAGCTCACAGCTCTGGGAAAGACACCTCCCATCCACTTGAGGAAAGGAGAGGAAAGAGTAAAGGGGACTTTGTCGTACAACTTAAATACCAGCTCAGCCACAGCAGGATAGGGCACCAGGCAGAGTTAGGCAGTCCCCATTCTAGGCTTTAGTTCCTGGACAACATTTCTCAATATACCCTGGGTGAAATGAGAACCTGCCTGTTTGAAGAGAAGAACCCAGTCCTGGGACAGTTTATCACCTGCTGACTAAAGAGCCCTTAGGCCCTGAATAAACAATAGTGGTACCCAGGAAGTACTCACTGTGGATCTTGGGTGAGACTGAGAGAAATATTGGCTTCAGGTCTGACCCAGCACTTCTGCTTAAGAAAAAGAGAGAGAAGAGTAAAGGGATAAAGAGGACACTGTCTTGCAGCTTGGGTACCAGGTTGGCCACAGTGGGATAGAGCACCAACTGGGCTCTTAGCATCTCCGATTTCAGGCTTTGGCTCTTGGATGGCACTTCCAGACTTACCCTGCACCAGTGGGGAGCCAACTGACCTAAAGAGAGAGTCCCAGACCTGGCAGCATTCACCAGAGTCTGACTGGGGCATTGAATGAACATTAGCAATATCCAGGCAGTACTTGCTGTGGTTCTGGGGCATTGGTGGCCACAGGGAGACACTCCTCTACTTGTGTAAAGAGGAGGAAATAATGAGGAGGATTTTGTCTTCCAGCTTGGGTGCCAGCTCAGCTGCAGTAGAATAGGGCATCAGAAAGATTCCTAAAGTTTTTGCCATCATGCCCCACCTAGAAGACGGCATCTCAGGATCTACCTGGGACTGGGGAGTCCTTGCCACTCTGAAGGGAAAGATACAAGCCTGGCTGGATTTGTCACTTGCTAATTGTAGAGCCCTAGCCCTTAAGTAAATGGAGGCAGTGGCAATGCAGTTGTTAAAACAGGTTTTGGTGAGACACAGTGCTGTGCTGGCTTTTGGTGGCGGCCACAGGAGTGTGTTATGCCATCCCAAGCTCCAGGTAGCTCAGCACAGAGACAGGGAGAGAATCCATTTATTTGGAGAAAAGAAAGGGAAGAGAGTAAGAGACTCTGTGTGGTAATACAAATAATTTTTCCATATATTATCTAATAAGACTATCAAGATAGTACCTCAACGAGTCTGCAAGATCCACAATGTTACTGGGCTTGGGATGTTCCCTAATGCAGATAAGATGGCAGTGAGCAAAAACTTAGATAACAACATCCAAGTCCCTTTGAATACCTGGAAGGCCTTCCCTAAAAAACATAGGTACAAACAAGCCTAGACTGTGAAACCTACAATAACTACATAATTCTTCAATTGCCCAGACGCTGACAAACATCAACAGGCAACAAGACCATCCAGGAAATGGCCTAAACAAAGTAAATAAGGCACCAGTGACTAACCCTATAGGGCACAGAATATGTGATATTTCAGAGAGAAATCAAGCTACTTGGTTTGAGGAAACTCAACAAAATTCAAGATAACACAGAGAAGGAATTCAGAATGCTATCAGATAAATTTAACCAAGAGATTGAAATAATTAAAAAAGAAGGAGAAATTCTGGAGTTGAAAAATTCAACTGACATACTGAAGAATGCATCAGGATCTTTTAACAACAGAATAGGTCAAGCAAAAGAAAGAATTGGTGAACTTGAAGACAGCCTATTTGAAAATACACAGTCAGATGAGACAAAAGAAAATAAATTTTCTAAATCTTCTAGGTGTGTTTCACTCTTTTTTACTTATATAAAAGCAAAAACTTATATAAACATGAAGGAGAAGACTTTCTCAGACAAACAAAAGCTGAGAGATAACACCAGACCTGTCTTACAAGAAATGCTAAAGGAAGTTAGAAAAGAAAGTTAATGAGCAATAAGAAATCAACTGAAGGTGCAAAACTCACTGGTAATAGTAAGTACACAGAATAACACAGAATATTAAAACACTGTAATTGTGATGTATAAACTATTCATATCTTGAGTGGAAAGACCAAAAGATGAACCAGTAAAAAATAACTACAAAACTTCTCAAAACATAAACAGTACAATAAGGTATAAATAGATAAAACAAACAGTTTAAAAGTGGGAGAATAAAGATAAAATGTAGTGTTTATTATCTTTCTCTTTGCTTGTTAGTTTGTTTATGCAATAAATGTTATCAGTTTAAAATAATGGGTTTTAAGATAGTATTTGCAAATTTCATAGTAACTACAAATTTTAAAAAAATCTACAAAAGATACACAAAAAACAAAAGGCAAGAAATGAAAATATACCACCAGAGAAAATATTCTTTACTAAAAGGAAGAGAAGAAGGGAGAGAGCACAAAACAACCACAAAACACATAACAAAATGACAGGAGTAAGTCCTTACTTATCAATAATATTACTGAGCGTAAATGGGTTAAACTCTCCAATTAAAACACAAAGAGTGGCTAAGTCAATAAGAAAACAAGGCCTAAAGCTCTGTTACCCAAACAGAAACACATTTCACCTATAAAGACACACAGAGATTGAAAAAATAAAGGGTTAGAAGATATTCCATGCAAATGGAAATTTTAAAAAAGCAAAAGAATATATACTTATATCAGACAAAATAGATTTCAAGACAAAAACTATAAAAAGAGACAAAGAAGGTCATTGTACAATAATAAAGGGTTGAATTCAGCAAGAAGATTCAACAACTTTAAAGATATATGGAACCAACACTGGGGCACCCTGCATATAAAGCAGATATTAGAGCTAAGAAGAGAGGTAGATCCCAATACAATAATAATCGGAGACATAAACACCTCACTTTCAGCATTGGACAAATTACATAGGCATAAATTCAATAAATGTTGGATGTAAGCTGCACTATAGAACAAATAAACTTAATATTTATTTACAGAACCTTTTATCCAATTACAGAAGAATGCATATTCTTCTCCTCAGCATGTAATTCTCAAGCATAGATCATACGTTAGGCTGCAAAACAAGTTTTAAAAAATTCAAAAAAATTCAAATTATTTCAAGTATCTTCTTTGACCACAATGGAATAAAACTACAAATCAATAACAAGAAAAATGTTGGGAGCTATACAAACAGTTGAAAACTAAACAATATGTCTCCAAATAACCAGTGGGTTAATGAAGAAATTAAGAAGGAAATTGAAAATTTTCACGAAGCAAATGCTAATGGAACACAACATGCAAAAACCTATGGGACACAGGGAAAGTTTTACTAAGAGGAAGGTTCATGGCAATAAGTGTCTACATCAAAAAAGTAGAAAAATTTCAAATCAACAACCTAATGATACATTTTAAAAAATTAGAAAAGCAAGAATGAAGTGTACCCAAAATCAGTAGGAGAAAAAAATAATAAATAATAAATTTTATTTATCAGAAATAAATGAAATTTAAATGAAGAAAACAACCCAAAAGATCAACAGAATGAAAAATTGGGTTTTTAAAATGATAAACAAAATCTACAAACCTTTAGCCAGACTAAGAAAATAAGAGAGAAGATCCAAATAAATAAAATCAGAGATGAAAAAGGGGAGATAATATGACTGATAATGCACAAATTCAAAGATGACTAGGAACAACCATATGCCAGTAAATTGGAAAATATAGAAGAAATGAATAAATTTCTAGACACATGCAGCCCAGCTAGATTGAACCATGAAGAAATCCAAAACCTAAACAAACTAGTAACAGGTAATGAAACTGAAGCTGTAAAGAAACATCTGCCAGCAAAGAAAAACCCAGAACCCCATGACTTTACTGTTAATTTTTACAAACATTTTAAGAAGAACTAATAACAGTGCTACTGAAACTATTCTCCCCACCCCCCACCGAAAAAAAGTGGAGGAGAAAATACTTCCAAACTCGTTCTATGAGGCCAGCATTATAATAATACCAAAAGCAGACAAAACATATTAAAAAAAAAAAAAGCTACTGGCCAATATCCCTGAAGGCCATTGATGCAAAAATCCTCCACAAATTTCTAGCAAGCCACACTCAACAACACATTACATTAACCATAATTATTACCAAGCAGAATTTTTCTAGGGATGCAAGGATACTTCAATATATGCAAAACAATCAATGTGATATATCATATCAATGAAATGAAGGACAAAAATCACATGGTCATTTCAATTGATGCTGAAGACCTAATTAATGAAATTCAACATCCCATCATGATAAAAAAAAAACCATAAAAAACTGGGTATAGAAGGAACATACCTAAACACAATAAAAGCCATATATGACAGACCCATATCTTGTATCAGTGAATGGGGAAATACTGAAAGCCTTCACTTTAAGATCTGGAATAAGAGGAGAATGCCCACTTTTACCAATGTTATTCAACATAGTACTGAAGTCCTAGCTACAGTAATCAGACAAGAAATATAGGGCATCCAAATAGGAAGGAAAGAAGTCATATTATTCTTCTTTCCAGATGAGATAATCTTATGTTTAGAAAAACCTAAAGATTCCACCAAAAAAAGTTAGAACTCTAAAAAAAATTCAGTAAAATTGCAGGATACAAAATCAACATGCAAAAATCAGTAGCATTTCCATATGCCAACAGCAAACAATCTGAAAAAGAAATTAAGGGATGTGGGAGTCCGAGACCAGTAGATCACCTGAGGCCAAGAGTTCAAGACCAGCCTGGTCAACATAGTGAAACCCCATCTCTACCAAAAATACAAAAAAAAAAATTAGCCAGGCATGGTGGTACATGCCTGTAATCACAATCACAACTACTCAGGAGACTGAGGCAGGAGAATCCCTGGAACCCAGGGGGTGGAGGTTGCAGTGAGCCGAGATGGCGCCACTGCACTCTGCCCTCCAGCCTGGGTGACAGAGTGAGACTCCATCTAAAAAATAAATAAATAAATAAAATTTTAAAAAAGTAAAAAAAAATCAAGGAAAAATCTCATTTGAAATGGCTAGAAATAAAATAAAATACCTAATAATTAACCAAATAAGTGAAAGATGTCTACAGTAAAAGCTGTGAAACACTGATGAAAGAAATTGAAGGAAAGACAAATAAATGGAAAGATATCCCATGTTCATGGATTAGAAGAATCAATATAATTAAAATATCTATACTAACCAAAGCAACCTACAGATTCAATGTGATTTCTATTAAAACACCATGATATTCTTCACAGACATTGAAATAAAAAACAATTCTAAAATTTATATGGAACCACAAAAGATCCAGAATAGCCAAAGTTATCCTGAGCAAAAAAAACAAAACTGGAGGAATTACATTACCTGACTTCAAATTATAGTACAGAGCTATTGTAACCAAAACATCATGGTACTGTCATGAAAACATGCACATAGACCAATGGAATACAATAGAATCCAGAAATAAATTCATACATCTACAGTGATTTCATTTTTGACAGGGGTGCCAAGGACATACTTTGGGGAAAGGACAGCCTTTTAATAAATGATGCTGGGAAAACTGGATGTCCACAGGCAGAAGAATGAAACTACACCCCTATTTCTCACTATATGTAAAAATCAAATCAAAATGGACTGAAGACTTACACTTAAGACCTCTAACTATAAAATTAATAAAATAAAACTCTGGGGAAACTCTCCAAGACAATGGACTGGGTGAAGATTTATTGAGTAAGATATCATGAACACAGACAAGAAAAGCAAAAATGAACAAATGGGATCACATCAAGTCAAAAACCTTCAGCACAGCAAAGGAAACAACGGGGTGAAGACACAACCCAAAAAATGGAAGAAAATATTTGCACACTATCCATTTAACAAGGTATTAAAACCCAGAATAAGTAAGGAGCTCAAACAACTCTGTAGGAACAAATCTAATAATATGATTCAAAAATGGGCAAAAGATCTGGGTAGACATTTATTAAAAGAAGACATAGATGGCAAACAGGTACATTATAAGGTGCTCAATATAACTGATTGTCAGAGAAATGAAAATCAAAACTATAACGAGATATCACCTTACCCCAATTAAAATAGCTTTTATTCAAGAGAAAGGTAATAATAAATGCTGGTTGGCATGTGAAGAAAAGGAACCTTTGTACACCGTTGGCGGGAATATAAATTATTACAATCACTATGGAGAATAATTTGGAGCTTCCTGCAAAAACTAAAAATAGAACTACCATATAATCCAGTAATGTCACTGCTAAGTATATGCCCTCCAAAAAGAAAATCTGTATTGAAGAGATTTCTGCACTTCCATGTTTATTGCAGCATGATTCGCAATAGCCAAGAATTAGAAGCAACCTAAGTTTCCAACAACACATAAATGAATAAAGAAATGTAGTACATGTACACAATGTAAAATGTGTAAAATGTACACAATGGAGTACTATTTAGTCATAATAAATGATATCCTTCATTCAAAACTGCATGGGTGGTAGTGGAGTTCATTTGGTTAAGTGAAATAAGCCAGGCACAGAAAGACAAGCTTCACATATTCTTACTTATTTGTGAGATCTAAAAATTAAAATAATTGAACTCACAGAGATAGACAGTAGAATGATGTTTACCAGAGGTTATGAAGGGTGGTGAAGGTTGGGGAATGGTTAATGGGTACAAAAAAATAGAATGAATAAGATCTAATATTTGATAGAACAACAGGGTGACTACAGTCAACAATTTATGATACAATTAAAAATAACTAAAAAAGTATAATTTGATTGTCTGTAACACAAAGAAAGGATAAATGCTTGAGGTGATGGATACCCCATTTACCCTCATGTGATTATTATGCATTGTATGCTTGTATCAAAATATCTCATATTTGATATTCCATAAATATATATACCTATTATGTAGCCTTTACAAATAAAAATAAAAATAAATTGGATTTTTGTGTCTCTGCCTCTTTTCTTTGGAGTGATACCTCAGTTGGGTGGTACATGTTCCTTTCATCTACACTGTGTTGGATCACTCGGATCACCCATTCCGTACCCTCTGGCCAGTCCTTGGCTCCTATTTATCCAAAACAAGACAGTGGTTCTTAATATTGTTTTCACTGTGTAGTTTTCCTAGATGAATGAGAAATACTATCTTGGTGATTAATTTTAAACTAGACATAAAGATAAGTATTGGCAGTATTAGCAGGATGCTGTGGAAACTAAGCAAGAACCTTAAGCATATATTCCATCTAACCTGCCTCTTCTGGATACTTTTGACGGGTTTAGTTTTTAGGGTGTGAGGCAAGGATAACATTAGATTTTTACCATGATCTTTAACTACTTATTTAATCCAATATTGTTTTTAACTTTCTATACACCAGGCACTTTCTTAAGCACTGAGAATTAGAGAACATGACAGACAGGCATCCTTGAGTGTTGAGTCTTTATGGATCAATCTTGTTTCCAAGTAGAGGAAAATCATCAATCTTGAGTGTTCTCTGCCTCTTTACCAATCCTCCCCAGAGAAGGTTAAATGTTTTATCTGATGGAGAATTTAGGATTGAGTACTAGGCATGCATGGCTTCACCCCTGTGGAAGTACTCAGATTTGGAATCTTTCTGCTTACAGGAAGCAAGTGCTCATATCTGCTTTCTGTTACGCGGTAAAAGGGGCATTTTCCACGGATCAGAGAAGGCCAATGTTAGTCCAGCTGTGACAACTAGTAAGGTGAGTATTAGATATCTAACTCAATGATGTATATTATCATGATTATTTGGTCATACATCTTTATTCCAAACTTTTTCTTCTTTTAATAAGTCAATAATAAAACTAACATCTTAAAATCTCTATGTGTTCAATTCCTGTGTCTATCTACCTTTCTTAGACAAGGAAGAATTTATCCATTAACCTCTAAAATCTCAATAGTGGGGTTAGACACAAGTACATCCAGTATAATGAGGGTTAAGATAAGCGTAATAAAGAATAATAGCACAGGGATACCTTACCCAGACTGGGAAGAGTGGAGCTGTCACAAAAGGATTTTTTTAATGAGTACTCACAGCATCTTCTGTTCTCTTTAGCTAGTGCCATGTGAAAAGTGAAAGCCAGTAGATTGTGAAATTTATGGGGACTGTATTAATTATGGAATCAGACCACTGAAAATAATTTTAAAGTTTGAGTCAATATATATAATTACATCTAAATTGAGTTATCTAATCATTTATTCAATAAGTTGTTATTAAATGCATATCCTGTGAAGTAAAATTTCTTTGAATAAGTAAGCTATACTCCTAAATTAGGGTCTTCCTTTACATTTACTATTTCTTCTTCTTAGAATAACACACCCCCAGATATTCATACAACTTGCTCCCTTCTGGGTTTTAGGCTTTTCCTGACCCAGTCTGTTTAATATTACTAGGTTGGTGCAAAAATAAATGCGGTTTTTGCCATCACTTCTCACACCAGTACTCCTCCCCACTTCTCTGCTTTATTTTTCCTTGGAGCTCTTATCACCATGTGACATAAAATAGTCTGCTCAAAACATTTCAAGTCTCCCCTCTCTCCCACAGAAGAATCCCAAGCTCTCAAGAAGGCCTTCAGAGCCCTCATGATAGGCTCCAGCTTCATTTCCTCTCTAATTCCATCTCTTTCCCTTATTGCAGAGTGATTTTAATCTAGGAAAGACGAGAAGAGATTTGGAAAGAGTTTCGTGCCGTGACTTAGGCTTAAAAGAATCTCTCTGGCCACTGGGTTGAGAACAGATTGGTAAGGGGTGGAAGGACTGTGGCCAAGATTGGAGCGGGGAAACCAGTCACAAGGCTACAGATTTAATCCAGGTGAAAGATGACGATGCTTTGGAACTGGGTGGTATCAGCACCTGGGAAGTGAAGAAAAGAGTCAGTTCTGGACATATTTTGAAAATAGAATCAACAGGATTTGATGAGATTGAATTTGGGACTTGAGAGGAAAAGAAGAACCATCACTGATTCTAGTGGTCCTGTCTCAGCAACCAGAAAGATGGCATCACACTTACCAAATGGAGAAGATTGTAGAATGTAGGTTGGGACTGAGATACAGGAGTACAGTTTGGGACATGTTGCATTTGAGTTACCTATTTGATATTAAAGTGAAGATCCTGAAGAGGGAGTTGGAAATAGAAGATTACAGTTTGAGAGAAAAGTGGGCAGGAGGTCTAAATTTGGGAGTGTTTGGCATAGTTAGTATTTAAATTTTTAGACTGAATAAGATCACCAACAGAGGGATTGTAGATAAAGCAAAGATCAATGGACTCATCCTTGGGGCACTTTGATGGTTGGAGGTCAAAGGGATGAAAAATAGCTGGAAAAAGGCAAAGGAGAATTCAGTGATGTGAAGGGGGAAATGATAAGTGTGATGTCCTGGAAGCCAAGACAGAAGTGTTTCAATGAATAAGAAGTGATTAAGTGTGTCAAATACTCCTGATAGGTCAAGTAAGATACATTGGCTAGAATACATTACCTAGATCACTAGAAATATGTTTGAGAAAATGTCAGGGGGATGAATTAAACTGCTGCTATCTTTTAGCCACATGAAAAGGCAGGGAGAAAAGTGTAGGTCAATTTTCAGTGGACACAAAATTTAGTCACAGTTTCATCCCAAATAGATAAACAATCACCCACACATAAATATGCACTCATACTTTCTTTTTATATCATGATTACTGTTGACAGATACCCAGCTCTCTTATAGGCCCACAGTACAATTGAAGGTGATATTTCTGTGGACACAATTCGGGGTATTTCATAGGATCTACCATGAGGAGGGACATGGTGTGGCAAAAAGATGTTTTGTATTTTACCTACACAACACTTTCATCAGGTAATTTCCAAGTTATGATCTACTCATTTTTGCATCACATTACCCCACACTGAATACCATTGTAGAATTATAGGATATTTTATCATATGGTTTATTTTGTATTCCATTGAGAAGTGCATCTCATGAAGACATATTTTGTAATTCTCAGAATGACTTATGTGAGAGCTCCTAAATAAAAATCTTGATAAGGGAATGTCCTTGGACTAAAAGTTCTACTGAGTTTCTTTCTTGATTAGCTTAACCACTGATAACCACCTGTGAACACATTTTCTCACACTCTGAAAGATTCTGTTAATGTTACTCTAATACTGTATTAACTTATAATTTTTTTTCCAACCCACTACTTCCTAAGCTATTTTTATAGTAGTTATTAAAGTCACTGCCTATTTATTTGTTCACAGTGAACGCAATTTATTATTAACTTTGCTACATTTAACAAGACATTATTACACCTGTTTGACATATAAAATATGAACCTAAAATCAAGCACAGGTGTAACTTGTCTAAACATTTGTATTGTCATTGAATTTTGGAAATTTAAAGAATTTTAATAGGTCCTTTTTTTCCTTTGTCATTCTGTTTCTTTCAAGAGTCATCAAATGACTCTATCCTTAAGCATTTCTTCCTGCCAATAACTACATGTTTTCCAATTTGACTTAGTTATAAAGAATTTAATAGTATTGGATATTCCTCAAATATAGAAAATACTCTCTCTTTTCTTGGTGAGAATTATCTCTTCCCAAGGACATTTTTTTGTGTGCTATGCAAGGAGAGAAGGCTAGCACTCCCCTTGACAAGAATGGAAGGGGCCCTTGGGCCTGACAACTATTAAGGCATTGCCACCTACTTCCAAGGACATTTTATTAAGTACCTTTTAATGCATTTGTTTGTATTCATTAATTATTTTGTCTATTGTGGATCCCCAACTAGGCTTTAAACTCTTGAGAATCAGGATCATAAGACAAAATAGCAAAACAACAGCAACAAGGATCAATTTTCCAAACATACAGGGAATTTCATACTTCACAAGAAAATTGTCACCTTAAGAGTGTCTTACATTTATTTCAATGACAGAGCTTTAAAAAAAGTCTTTGCAACCATTTTTGGAATTGTCTGTACAGCTATTTGGAGTGAAATTAGTAAATAAATCTTCTATTTCTGAGTTACATTTTTTTCTGAAATACACCCCTAAAATGATATTATCCAAGTAAACTCCCTTTTTCCCATCACATTGGCCTCTGGAAGACGTTTGAGAGTCTCCTTAAAATAAATATATCCTCAAATAATATTTTTGCTAAAGATGAACCTAAATCTGCTGGAACCTGTAAAACTATCAATTTGGAGAAAACCAAAGGGACAGAGAAATATATCAAATGTGGCCATGGAAATGCAATCTATAAAATCAAGGCTGAAAAAAAAACTCAGGATAAAAACATCTAAATTTTTCAACAAATAATCTCTTGTTCTAACTTCTCTGTTTGGCCATTGTCTTTCATAAAGTTGCTTTACTACAAGTGTTGAGATTTATCACAGTATAAGCCAAGTGAAAATAGCTAACTAAAATTAGAGAATTGTAAAGAGCTCAATTACGTTCAAGTGGGAGATGGAATTATTTAATCCAGGCCCCTTTGCTGTCATTCACTTCAAGTCTATCTATACCAGGGTCTCCTCATGTGCTCCATGTTTGCTGCATTGAACTGAATTGACTTTATGGTCTTAGTCCCAGGGGCATATTGAGCTCACTACCTCCATCTATTTTCTTGTCCCTTTGCAGCTGACTGTTCTTAAGTTTATAATTGTACTTCTTTAGTATCATAGATTGCTCTCCTTGACTTAACTTTTTGGTTTTCCACTTGACAAACTTTCCTTCTTTTTTCTATGCAAAAATATTGGAGTGCATACCATGTGATTGGAGCTAGAGATAGAGAGTTGAATGAAATTACACGGTCTCTACCTTCAAAGGGCCCTTTATCTGTTATACTGTCCATTGCAGACGCTGAGAAATTTACTACTGCTTATCTTCATTCACTTGTCACTTTACTCTCTGGAAGAGTTGCGTGCTTCTGAACTGTGAGATTTTACTCTGCGCTTCTGCTTCAGATCATTTATGAGATGTTAGATAAAAATGACCCCAGAATTATTCATGAAAAATCCCACTCTTTGCCCTTTGCCATAAATAGAAGTAATCGATTCTCTCTACCAGCAATTTGCTTTTTAAAAGACACTTATTATCTGATCAAATGACTTTTTCTTTTCCCCAGTCTCTTTTTGACTCATTGTTTAAAACAACCTTTAATGGAATTTAGCCCAAACCTTTTCAATCTACCTTTATTCATATGTACCCAAGCTTAGATATGCCACTCCACTCTCGACAGCCATAGGGAAATATTTAATTTTCTTTACAATGGCAAACATAATACATAAAAATTGTGAAAAGTTAGGAAAATAAAGATTTAAAATAGAGAACTATAGTAACCCATAACCCCAGATGTTTATTCTTTTATCCACAATCCCTCAAAGGACTAAGTGGATCATCCCATTGTGATCTTACCAAACTTCTATTTGTTTGGTTGCTTCAAGACTGTTTTTCTTTGTTATTGATCTTACCAGCTTGCTTAGTGTGGAATTGTAGGTGAGACCTACAGTTCTATGGTTCATAAAAATCCTTCAGGAATTGTTTTCATGTACAACACGAGAAAATATTCACTCTTCAAGTCAGGGAAGTGAGGGAACTTTACACATTTGTGCTTCAGAATTAACTGGGCTATATATTTAAATTATAAAGATGTTTATAATTGATTTGTGAGCTAGATTTGGGGATATGATATTCCAAATAGGCAGAGTAGTAAACAACATTCCTTTGGAAGTAAACTGCTTTTGTCTCTGTTAAAAGACCATTTTAAAATTTTTTTGTTATCTTTTTTTTCCTTTTGCTTTTGCTATTGCTTCAGAAAGTCGCGAGTGTGACCTCGTATTCACCTCTGCATTGCATACTCCTTTCTAATATCTCTCTATGCTGATTATCTTCTTTGAAAAGTGTCTTTGGAATTGTGAGGGCAAATGCAAGCTAATGTCAAACAAGCCCCTTTATAACCTCTGGGCAATAAAATGGTTGATACTTACTAGACAATGGTGACATGTTAAATAAACTATTTGAGAATAGCTGGTGTTTGTGAACAAAAAAATGCTCATAATAAAATCTCAGTTTTGGGTGTCTGATTTCTTTCCTACATACTATGAATCAGGGGCAGGTCTTTAAAATTCTATCTAAATTAGGAATTGGTCACAAGCGCTATTAATGATCACGTTCTGCTGGGAAACAATTGTAATTTCACAGTTTATAATGGATTTTACAGTTAAGAGTATTTAAATATGAGATGAGACACCAGACCTGGTTGCTTTTGTGATTCTGATTATTACTATTACCATTTAATTCTTTCCGGTCAACATTTATCAGGGGTTAGTTGATAGATTTTTTTTTCACAAAATTTCCTTTGTTTTCCCAAATGCTAATATTCAAAGACTGTGTCTAATAATTCAGAAAACATACTTTGCTTTAGAATGTTAAAATCAATAACTTAATTTGTAGGAGTTCAAATTCTGATAACTTTCATGATTTTAATTAATTAAATATGAATTATGAATAGGATTTCTACGGAATAAAAAGCATCTGGAGAAATATTGGTAAAAGGAAACTGAAGTACAGGAAAAGTAAGAGAGGCTTTGAGACCTTTGAGTAAATTCAAGGTTGTAAACTTAGATGAATTACATACTGGGGGCTCAGAAGTCTCACATGTTAATTCTAAACCCCTGTCTAAAAATTTGGAAAGGCTCTTTAGAGAATGGAAATATTCCAGAAGGTTGCAAACAGGCAGATGAAATTACTCATTCCATAAACTCCAGACTACTGGTGACTTTGATGTTCACTATGGGCAATATATTGATTGATTAATTTTTTTATTCAGCCATTTAGTCATTCGGTAATCATGTATACCATTTATACCAATGTGCCAGATATGGTATTAGGTGTTAGGAATACAGTAGTAAACAGAAAACTAACCTGAACTTTAATGAGTTTATGATCCAGAGATTACATACAAGTAAATAGTCAGTTAATGCAGAAGCAAATAGTACAAAATGGGATTCCAAAGAGTATAAAGTAAAAGATTTTAATTTCTTACCAGGAGATCCACTAAAAAATGACAATTACAATGTGAAGGTATATGTGTGGGGGAAGGTATATGTGTGGAGGGGACAGGGAGCTGAGAGAGCTCTCCAGAAGAAAAAGATGGCATGGGTCAAGATCTGAAGGCAAAAAAGAGCATGACATAGTTGGGAGGCATATTAGGGATTCAGGAAAGATTCTAGAACAGCTTATTGAAGGGGATCAGCATGGGTTTACAAAAAATAAATCAAATCAAATTATCACATTTTTTTCCTTCTTTACTTTCTCGCTTTCCTCTCTTCCTACCCTCCTACCTTCCTTCTTTCCTTCCTTCCTTTCTCTCTCTCTTGATCTTCCTTTCTTTCTTAATTTTTAAAAAATATTTTATAAGTACTACTCTAAATGGATAAGGACAAGGCAATTGATATATCATTTGGGGAACTCAACGAGGCAATTTACACTAAATCTTTATTGACGCTCTTGTGAACCATATAGTTGATTAACTTTACTAAAAGAGTATTGGCTAATAAAGGGATTTTCTAGTGACTTAGCTTAAGGTTCTTTCTTTAGTCCTGTATAGATGAGTCTATTCAAAATTTGAGTCAAGATTTGGAGACTGTTTTTCAGGTTTAGGAATGATGCAAAAATACATCAAATGATTGAATTGGGATGTAGAAGATCTAAGGGTGGAATTATGAATCAAACGTGACAAGATAAATTATAAGAATTTTTTTTCTGATCATAACAATAATAAGTATTTATTGTAAAAAACTAGGAGCCATATTAAAAAAAGTTATATGCCAGGCCTAATACACATAATTAAATAACCTAACTTATTGTTTTCTAGTACCTTGAAACAATAAATTTTAAAACTGTATGTATATATATATATATATATTTTCTGTGTATTGTTATACACACACTTTGTAACATATTAGAATATTATTTTATTGCACTGTTTTCTTAATTATCATCTTTCCAGGTTAATAAATTTATGTGTCATTCAGCATCATGGTGGCTACAAAGTATTCCACTAGGTAGATATACTATAATTAACAATGGACTCTGGACAAACATTTAGTAGTTTGATATGTGTTATCATGATCAAGAATGTTTTGATGATACCTGTGTGTATTCATCTCTACATACTTGCCTGTATATATATTCAGTTTCTAGAAATGGAAATGCAGGGTCAAATGGCAAACTTTTTCAAAATCTGGTATACATTGCTAAAT
This sequence comes from Homo sapiens, assembly GCF_000001405.40. Taxonomy (NCBI): domain Eukaryota; kingdom Metazoa; phylum Chordata; class Mammalia; order Primates; family Hominidae; genus Homo; species Homo sapiens. Next base: position 110,547,320 of record NC_000003.12, on the reverse strand, counting down.
CAGCAAGATAAAATTTAACGACCATACCTACAAAACTCCGAGAACAAGCAAAGCAGGTTGAGAAAAACAACTTTTGAAAAATCTTAAAGGATTTTAGGTGATATTATTATAATGTGATGTGACTGCGTTTGTAGCTTTTTGCACTTCATAACTGTAGCAGAACCTACCTCAAGAGAAATTTGGAAACGTGAAGGGACATTTCTGGTTGTCAAAATGACTGGGGGATATTGCAAACATTTAGGAGTAGGCAGTGTAGAGTAGGAGACAACGTAGTAGTAGCCAATGCAGAGTACAGCACAATGAATTTGTCCACATAAATGCCAATAATACATACTATTTTTGAAAAACACTGAGCACTTGGGCTTATAGACTGTATTAATACAATAGTGTTTAGGTATGGAGGAATAACACGAATAAATTAACTTATTTACAATATATGTTTTTAATTTTATGTCCTCCAGTTTAAGATGTGAATCAACCATGGCAAATAAGTTTCTTTTTATGTACCAATTCTTATCAATTATTAGCAACAGCCAAGAAAGCAGGAGTGAAAAGCACTCAGAAACCATGTCCAGGCTTGTAATGTGCTAATCAGTTAATGCCAGATTTGTTAAACAGGGGACACATAGTATTTCTGGTAAATATTTGTTGTTACCAATTTGTTTAACTATATTCTAAAGAAAGAATGACCAGAATTCAAAACTATGTCATGATTCCATGCATATACTCTGTTTTGTCAAAATTCCTTTTAAAGCGAAGCATTCAAAATGGAGTGCGAGGTTTTCAGCACTCCATTTAGGAGTTGTGTTCCTCCTAAATTCATCTATTGAAGCTCTAGCCCCTAGTATCACAGAATGTGAATGCATTTGAAGATAAAGGCTTAAAACGGTGATTAAGTTCAAATGAGGTGATCAGGGTAGGCTCAAATCTAATCTCATTGGTATCGTTATAAGAGGAAATTTGTATACACAAAGACCAGGGATTCATGTACACAAAGGAAAGATCATGGGAGGACATGGTGAGGAAGGGGCCATCTGCAAGCCAAGAAGAGAGGCCTCAGGAGACACCAAACCTACCACACCTTGATTATGGACTTCCAGCCTCCAGAACTGTGGGAAAATAAGTTTCTGTTATTTAAGCCACCAAGTCTGTGGTATTTTGTTATGGTAGCCCTAAGAAACCAGTACAATGTCTTTATTAATACTTCACTAGATGAACTTAATTACAAATTTTTATTATGATACAATAAAGGGATAATACATTTGAATCATTACGTATGCTACAGTAAAAGAAATTAAAGAAATAACACCTAGAGTATCTTCAAAATGCCACTTTTTTTTTGTACTACCAACTCACTCACTGTTTTTCTCTTCCTTCTGGCTTGAACTTTCCAATTAAAATCATCTTTGTTGGACAACAGGAAAGAAATAAGCAAAGAAACCTCTAAAATGCATGTCATTAGTGATTACCTCCTTTCCTATGACATAGAAGCATTGATGAGCTTATCAAGTGAGTGAATTGCTGCTCTGGGAGGTTCACAGGACATGAGATCTAGGAAGGAGCATGTACAAGTAGACTAGTGGTAGATATATAAGGAAGAAATAAGGGATAGAAAAATAATTTTTTAAAGGAAAACCAGCTATACATTGGCATTTATTGAGAGATCAAATGAAGTCCCAAACCTGAGGAGGAAAGCACAAATTATTAATCAAACCCTGAGCCTTATACTTGAGTAGGGTGAGATCCAAGAGAAGTAAAGGAATCAAACTTTTTTCCTGATGATTAAGATTAGAATATGTCCTTATATGAATTGCTTAGACATCTCATACAATATTTTTAAAGAGTTAGTTTCATAATTATGCTTTTGAAACCCATATTATCCTAGAATTGCCGTTACACATTGTGGTAAAATTGGCTATTTATTTTCTGATCAGTACTTTTCTGTAATGCTGCTAGTGGGAGAAGCTTCACAAAGCATCACTTTGGAATGCCCTGGGATATTCAATGTTTGCTGCTCTGTCATGAGAGGCTGTAAAAACCAAAAGCCACCTGCTGGGAAGTATGGCCCCCATGTGTGGACAGTAAGGTGTTCGTGTTGATACTTCAACAAACAAATGTACAATGAAGCTATTGAGAATTTCCTAGTATTTTGACTTGAACACAGTGGCTATGCATTTTCATTTCTAACTCAGTAATCTGGCAAGCAAAGGGGTCATGGTCTGTTTGACTTTGTAAGTCTTTCTCCAAGATATGGCATATATTTTGGAGCACTGCAAGGTTGAGTAGACAAAGAAAACATATTTAAAATTGCAGATGTTATTTCTAAATTGTTCATAAGTAGCAGGAAACTGCAGGATGATATTTAACTACTCTGTAGGTAGCAGGCAATTTGCATTTGTAATATCAGCATAATGAGTTTAAGATGTGCATTGATCCCATTTCAGTTTACATGGAATGCAACAAAGCATGTTAATGGGTAACCTAAAAGCATATAAATCAGGGAAAAATATGAAATGTAAAAAAATGCAGAGCTGCCATAGTAATTGCGCTTGCTTGAAACATTTCATCCTATATATCCACAATGTCTATGGCAATTAATACCAAAGGTAATGACAGTGAATGGAGAAAATAAGATTTTCTATTTTTAAATTTCCGTGAGATACAATAGTGGATGACTTGCTCTAAAAAGATGCCCCACAGTAAAATCTTATATGATTGATAGTTCTTTAATTAAAAATAAGAAGCTATTTCATAGTCATGTTAGTTTTTCTCTGTCAGAAATAGCTGATAGACTTTGGCCATGCTGATCTTTCTTTGTATTTTAGTTGTAGCTCATTAATTAAATTTATCATATCTTCCTAACTCACTTAAATATTCAAAGGGTCATTTTATCCCAGAGAGGCATGTGAGAGTTTTCTCATTCATCACAATTTTGAGAGAAATATACTCCATTATTTCAAATTATTTTTATGTTTTTGTTTTTCTCTTTGGTTGACAATTATTTTAAGAAGGGCAGAATAAGTACATAAGAATTGTGATGACGAATGCTGTAATACAAAGGCAACAGAGTCAATGTAAGCTATTACACACATATTTATATGTGTTTAATTTATAACAGAAATATGTATTTATAATATTATTTATATATAATTATACATGTATATAATATATAACTATATACAATATATAAATACATATAAAATTATATACAATTATATATGTATATATAATATATACCTATATATTTATAACATTTATAATATTTTATATTTATGTTATAAATGCAATATCCAAGCTATCATTAGGCAGGAGCCACTTATTTTTGTAACTTATTGGTTGGACTCTTGTGTTTGTTCTCTATCTCGCTTGCTTCCCAGGCCCTTAATAAGACCAACAAAAAGATGTAAAGGTAATAATAAGGGAACTATTAAAAGATGCTTTATTATTTTAGTAATTAGAGCAAAACAAATTAAAAATACATAATTATATACCATTTTACACACTATCAATTTGTAAAATTTAAGAGTGTGTTACTGTGGCAAAGATAAGAGAAATAGCCTTTTGTAAGAGTATGAATTGCTACCAAAACTTTGGAAAGCAATTTGTCAGAATCTTGTAGGGCTAAAGATACCCATTGATTCTACTACATATCTAAAACAGTAGACCTCTAGATATCTACTTATAAAATTTTTCCAAAACTTGCAGAAGAAGGATAATTATTGTATTTTTAAAATAGAAGAAAAATGACAACGACCTACCTAACCATCTCTTAATAGAGTAATAAGTGTGTATCTTTAATTAGTAAAGTGGAATGCTGCATAACAGTTAAAATGAATTAGTCAGAGCTTCATGTATCACAATGCATATAACTAAAAAGATCAATAGACTGAGTGATAAAATGATATTTAAGAGTGTGATGATATCTGTGTGTAAATTAGAAAATATACAAATGATAGTATATGCATTTTTTAAAATGTGTTTGAAACTGATAAATATTAACATCAGAATGGTGGTTACCTCTGGAAAAGAAGGAAGAAGAAATAAGGAGTGGGGTCTTAGCTGTATTTATAATGTTTTATTTCTTTTACAAAGCATGATCTGGAACGAATACAGCAATACGTTAACATTTAATAAATCTGAGTTTTCTACACATAATGTCTTAGTCTGTTTTCTGTTGCTATAATGGAATACCACAAACTGGGTAATTTATAATAAAAATAAACTTATTTCTTACAGTTCTGGAGACTGGGAAGCATGACACTGGCATCTGGTAAATGCCTTCTTGCTGCATGCATAACATTTGTGACTCTTGCTTTCCTGTGTTCAACAGAACTCATGATTTCTGGCCTGAAGATAAGACACAAAGTCCAGCTCCCTCTGAGCACAGTCAGCATGGCTCTCCGAAAATACAGTACACAATATCAGTCTCTTTTCTGTGAAAGAAGTTCGGAATTAACCAGGAGTCAATTATTCTGGTATTAAATTGAAGTTGAAGTCACTGGGAATTGCAGGGCAATTTAAAGAAAATGTGTTAGTGAGATTGGGTAATAGCAGATTTGAGTCTCTCACACACACACACGAGCTCCATGTGGTATTCCATATGAATACAAAATGGGCAAAACCTTGTAAAAATGTGGTAGGATAACTACATTGAAATAACTGAGGTATGGAGTCACTGCCAGGATTTTTAACATTCTGCTATCAATTGTTCTTTTAATTTTTAGCCTCTATCCTACAAGTGACCTTAAACTTTTACTTTTTTAATGTAGTTTTTACTTCTTTAACTTCTTCTGTCCCTTTGTCTTATTTCCTGCATCTTTACTAAGGTCTTAAAATGGCAAATTCTAAAATACTGATTCTTTAGTTTTCATTTGGAGTTTTCAAAGCCCTGTGGTGATATTTGCCACACAATAGTTTTCAAAATTTAAAGCCCGTCAATTTTTTGTAGAAACTACCTCTTCTTACAAATCAAGCTGGGTTATCCCTGTTTAACAGGATTCATGGTGTAAAACAGAAATGTAGGAGAGTAATTCTCATAATGCCAGAGGAAATCATGACCCTGAGGCAAGGTAGCTGAAATGTGAATCAATTACAGTAGCACCTACTTGGTAAATAAGAACTACAAAAGGATGTAAATAAAGTTACAGTTATTAGGAAAGATAATTACATAATACTAGATATAAATATAATATATAAATATAAATATTACATATCTATAATATTATAATTAGAGGTAAACCTGGGATGTGGTCATTGAGATTGAGATTGAGATAAAAGCAGATAAAATTTTATTATAGCAGATAAAATTTGAGTCACAGTTCAAGGGACTTTGAGGAGGTCAATTTGCACATGGAGTCCAGGGGATAAAGCAGCGTTTCAAACAGAAGAGTGCCTTGCTTTCTCTGGATGTCTGGAGGGACAGTTCAGCCTGAGGCTAAGAAAATAAGTCTTAAGCATAGAGGTGCGTCTAGAAGAGAGAAAAGTGCTAACTTTTTGACAGCTACAAGTTGTGCCAAATAATGAATAACACATAATTGTGTATTTACATCTTACAAAAAATGCATGCAGTTCTTCTCCTAAACTGACCTAATAAAAATTACTATTCATCTTCAAATGCATTATAGCATATTCTAGACTCTGAAATTATTTTTGAATATTTGTTTCTGGTGATATTCCATGTAAAAAATCTGAACTGCACACCTGCTTATGCATATTCTGTAGCGCAGAGATATTCCAAACTGATTACTAGTATTACCCCAGGAGTTAAAAAAAATAGATAGACAGGAGGATGGTTGGATGGATGGATGGATAAATAGATACATTTTTGTTCTTTTACCAGATTTACCAATTGGAAGCCTTAGGAGTCAGACGAAGCAGGAATGCCCTCTTAAGGACCTGTGTCCTCTGTACCAAAAGCATGGAAATAACGTAAAATTTTGAATTCCTTCAAGGGACATTCCTGGCACCTAGATAACCCTGAAAAGTAAATAATCAACTTGATAAACAAGAAAGTAATAGTAGCCTAAAACAATAGTCAAGGAACCTAGAACCATGGGATGTTTGGTGCCCTTATAGAAACTAAAGAAAACATCTTAACATATGTTTCAAAGTTGTTTTTCAGAAACCGGGATCCCAGTGAATTGATCCAGTGGCACATAGAACTCAGATAAGGAGGAAGTGAAGACTCAACTCTGACCGCTCTTCTTTGCTCTCAATTTCTGCCTGAGGGGCTTGAAAGGAGTCACACCCACAAGCCAGAGCTAACATTTTTTCTGCTGACCCCAAATTCTAAAACAAAGCTTCTCCTCCTTAACCAATTGCAATTCAGCAAATCTTTGAATCTACATATAACCTGTAAGCTCCTGCTTCAAGCCATCCTGCCCTTTTAGGTTAAAATCAATATGTAGCCACCATTTATTAATTTATAATTTTGGCTTTCCAAAAATGTACCACTGCCTTTAAAATCCCTTATCTTCAAGTCTCTGGAGAGGTCAGGATTTAAGTATTAGCTACCTACTCCTCTTTGCTTGGTGCCCTGCAAATAAATGCCCTCCTTTCTCCCACTGCAAACTTCAGTGTGGATATCTGGTCTTCCTGTGCCAGGCGGGCAGACCCCAGTTCGGTCCTATAATAGCAGTGGATGTCTGGCATTGCAGTGGAGACTATGAGAGAAACATATTGTATACAATGGCAAGGTGAGAACTGGGATTTCCAAGGACTTAGTCCCTGGAGAAACGACCCTCTCTTTATCCAGTGATGGCAGCATCCAATTCTCAGGAGAAGCTCCCATGGGAACTGCTCTGGTGGAGCCTTCTGTTAGCAGTTGTTATAAGGGTATTAGTTCCTTTCTTTAGCAGTCAGGTGAGCTGAAAGGAAACAATGGCCCAGAGAGCTAACCTGTTTTGGTTTCACTAACAGGCTATTACTAACGACCCCTGAAAGGTGTTAAGGACACTATTTGGGAGTTCATTAAAGAAGGTAAGAGTAGGAATTATGGGATTGGGCCAATAAAGGAATAATAGGGTTGTGCCCCAGAATTCTGGGACTGAACCATGCAAGTCACAGGAGGTGGTTTTTCCCAAATGTTGTGGGGAGGCTCCAGTCCTGCTGCAGTGCTTACATATCTGAAAACAGGTGACACTTATGACCCTACTCTATCTTTCGTGGTAGTCCCACATTTCCCTCTGGTGGAAATGCTTGTATCTCCTTCTTGCTTCTGATATCATAAATATTCTAGCATCTTTCCTAATTGGCTTATCTGTGATGTGCTTCCCTGAGCCTGGCTCTATCCTTAGTCTGTTCTATTTACCTCGTTGTATCCTCACAATACAAACAATTCCCCACATGTAAAGCAACACCATTACCTCTTTAGGAACGTTAACGCTCCTCACCTCTTGTTAAGAACTTTAAGGATGTAGTTATGCAAATATGGTCACCTAAATTTTTAAGCCCAATTTTAACAAGGGCAGTCGAAACAAAAGTGCTAATTTTCTGAACAATGTGTCTACATGTTAGCAGTACGGTGTAGTGGAAAGAGTATATCCTATCGTATCAGAGACACCTAATTTTAAATTCCTTCTGTTGCTTTCTAATTGTGTGACAAGTTACTAGATCTCTCTGAGATTCAACTGTAAATTGAAGGTGATTCCTACTTTATAGGGCTATTGTTAGAATTAAATGAGATAAGGAAGGAAAATATTTAACATGTAGGCAATACTCAACAAATATTAAAAATATTTTCTGCTACCTAAATTCATAGACAATAGAGAAAAATTCTTTTTTCTTTTCCCTTTGCTGAGTTCCCAAAATGAGCAACATTCTAGACTTAAAATCAGGGGTAAATAGTGAGAGGTATATGGGCTTCTAGGGTGTAATCGTCTGTTTTCACACTTGTATAAAGACATACCCAGGACTGGGTAATTTATAAAGAAAAGAGCTTTAATTGACTCACAGTTCCACAGGGATGGGGAGGCCTCAGGAAACTTACAATCAGGGAAGAAGAGGCACATCTTACATGGTGGCAGGCGAGAGAGAGAAGAGCAAGCAAGAGCAGAGAAAACTGCCCTATAAAACCATCAGATCTAGTTGAGAATTCACTCATAATCACAAAAACAGCATGGAGAAATTGCTTATGATCCAATTACCTCCATCTGGTCTCTCCCTTGACACATGGGAATTATGGGGATTATAATTCAAGATAAGATTTGGGTGGGGACACAAAGCCTAACCATATCATAGGGGTTCCCTATATTAAATTTAACTTTTAATAGTTGCAGGCATATATATTTTTGGGGTGAGGGTTCATGACTTTCTTCAGATTTTTAAATGATCTATGACCTACACACCCACTTAAAATGTTGGGAATCACTGTTTTACCTGCCTTAAGAATCAAACTAATTTTCTCCATTAAGTTGGAGTTTCTCATTCTGTAAACTTCCATTATTCTGTCTTCAAATATTCTCGATTTCTGTGAGCACACTTAATTAAAGAGCATTTCATAGAGTAGATGTGAGATCAAATGAGATAATGTATATAAAATGTTTTCTTAAGCTGTAAAACTCTATGTAAATAAAGGCATGGTTAATATTAGCAACAACCTGTATTATACTGTTGCCTTTGTAGCTGTAGAAGATCTCCTCCTGATTTGTTATGATAAAAATTATCATAATGATTACAACATTAATCACAATTACATTGCAATCTTATCACAATGCTCAGCTTAGTAAGTTAATTGAAACCTTGGAGAAACCTAATGGTGACTATAATTTTTTTAGGCACCATTTGTAATCTCCTATCAATTTAGAGCTACAATTATTCTAATACTTGAAGAAATCTTTGATGGCATCTAATTTAACCTCTTTGTTTTTAGATAGGGATAGAGCCCTGATGAAAGAAAGTGATGGCCCACAGCCATACAGCTAGTTTGTTAAAAGTTAGGACAAGTGGATGTAATCAAGCTATTTTCCTGCACCCTTTACTTGCTTGAAATAGTAATGTAAATGATCCTTCCAATTTTTTAAAGGGAATAGCACTTATGGAAAGTCCTGTTTAAAGTGTTTGTAGTAGTAGATTTTAAAAAAAAAGATACATTATTGTGAAGAACAAAAAAAAAAATCTATCTTCCATTGAGTACCTACCTTCAAAGTATATTTTAATTTGTATGGCCCAGAAATTTACTACAATTGTATAAAGCGTTTTCTTCAGCAGTTAGCAACTTGTGTCTCAGATTCTGGTGTTTTAGTCAAGGCAATTTCATAATAATGAACCATTTAGGCAAGCCTAAATGGAAAGATATATTGAGAAATAAAGAAGCAAATCTCAGCCAGGCACCACGGAAGATGTATGACCTCTGAGGACCTGGGGGCCTTTAGGGCCAAGGCTTTTCTTTGTATGTCTGTTTCGTTCTCCTATCCAAGAGAAGAGACCATCTTTGTCTGCATCTCATCTTTGAACATGTGGTCAAAAATGAAGGAGTCAAATATGACCCTGTGTGAACTTGCAGGTCAAGTACCTAAACTGTTGTACTAAGGTCTCTGTATCTCTTTATTCATGTTAGAGAGAGAGAGAGAGGAAATCTGATCCTTGAGCAGCTAAAGGTTGTCCCCTAGGCTGCAGGGCTCACCACTGGTCCGTCCAGTGGCTGGAGGTGAAGTATTACTAATATTTTATTCCATCGGTCAGCTAACGCCACATTTTTAGTGGAACTGATATAATGCTCAGTTACTTGAGAAGAGGAAATTGCAGCTAACTGGCAATTTAAAACTGACTTAAAATAGGATAAAATAATGGTTCTGAAATTTCTAGGGTTCCATTTTTTTTTGTTGGCAGGATTATATTTTAAGACATATATGTTGGTATGTGGTCTAGCAATGAGACAGGCTATCTTAAATAGGTACGGTCTGTGTAAAGCCAGATATATGATTGCTATATCTTCAGTATCAGGAAACTATAGAAGATTGTTTTCCACTGGGAAAAGCAAGGATCTAGGAAATCTATGGGTGATTCTAATGAGCTGTGACGGAGTCCAGTATCATATATATTTTTTTTGGTTTAATATAGAATTACATGAACCCACTGGTATTAGCAACTCCCATGAAGGTTATTTCTGGCTATCTTCTAGTTGTTGTTGTCACCTCTCATCCTCAATGCTACTCTTGAGTTGAGGGCATAGTATTTAAATGACTACCAAATTACACAAGAAATGTGGGGTTATTCACAGTGAAATACCTGCTGAGAGGCTGCACATCATTTTTGGTTTTATCAGATTAATAAATTATGTTTTTAAAAAAGTAGTATTTATTTTAAAGGGTATGTAGTAAGCATACATATTTATGGGTTAGATGAAATATTTTGATACAGGCATGCAAAGAGTAATAATCAGATCAGGGCAAATGTGGTATATATCACCTCAAGCATGATCATTTCTTCATGTTATAATTTCAATATATTCTTTTAGAATTTTAAATGTATATTATTATTAAGTGTAATCATCCTGTTATGGTATCAAATTTTAGATCTTATTCATTCTAATTATTTTTTGTACACATTTATCATCCCCACTTTCCCTGTATCGCGCCACTACCTTCCCCAGTGTCTGGTAACCATTCTACTCTCTATCTCCATGAGTTCAATTGTTTTAATATTTAGATCCCACAAATGAGTGAGGACATGCAAAGTTTTTCTTTCTGTAACTGGACTGGCTTATTTCACTTAACATAATGACCTACACTTCCATCCATGTTGTTGCAAATGATATGACAAGATCATATTTTATGGCTGAATAGTACTCCATTTTGTATAATACCACATTGTCTTTATCCATTCATCTGTTGATGGACACAAAGATTACTTCCAAATCTTGGCTACTGTGAATAGTGCTGCAAGGAACATGGGAGTGCAGATATATCTTTGACATATTGATGTAATTTTCTTTGGAAAAATACCCAGTAGTGGGGTTGCTGGCACATATGATAGTTCTATCTTTAGTTTTTTGAGGAATCTTCACACTGTTCTCCATAGAGGCTGTACTAATTTGCATTCCAAACAACAGTGCCTGATAGTTCCCCTTTCTTCACCTCCTCACCAGTATTTGTTTTTCTTGTCGTTTGGACAAAAGCAATTTTAAATAAGGTGAGATATCTCATGATAATTTGGATTGGCCATTTCTCTGATGATTAGTGATGTGGAGAACCTTATCATATGCCTATTTTCCATTTTTATGTCTTGTTTTGAGAGAAGTTTATTTAGATATTTTGCATATTTTTAAATAAAATTATTAGATTTGTTCCTTTACAATTATTTGAGCTCTTAATAAATTCTCGTTAGTAATCTTTTGTCAAATGGATAGTTTGCAAATATTTTTCCCACACTGTGCATTGTCTCTTGACTTTATTGATTGTTTTCTTTGCTGGGTAGAAGCTTTTTAACTTGATGTAACTCCATTTTGTCCATTTTTCCTTTGGTTGCCTACGCTTGTGGGGTATTACTCAATAAATCTTTGCCCAGTCCAATGTCTTGGAGAGCTTCTCTAAAGTTTTCTTTCAGTAATTTCATAGTTAGAGGTCTTAGATTTAAGTGTTTAATTCATTATAATTTGACTTTGTATATAGTGAGAGATAGAGGTGTAGTTTTATTCTTTTGTGTATAGATACCCACTTTTCCCAGCACGATTTATTGAAAAGGCTATATTTCCCTAGTGTATGTTCTTGGCACCTTTGTCAAAAATGAGTTCACTCTAGATGTATGGGTTAATTTCTGGTTCTTTATTATATTTCACTGGTCTATGTGTCTTTTTTTTTTTTTTTTTTTTTTTTTTTTTGCGATGGAGTCTCGCTCTGTTGCCCAGGCTGGAGGGCAGTGGCGCAATCTCAGCTCACGCAAGCTCCACCTCCCGGGTTCATGCCGTTCTCCTCAATCAGCCTCCCAGATAGCTGGGACTACAGGTGCCCACCACGACGTCTGGCTAAAGTTTGTATTTTTTAGTAGAGATGGGATTTCAACTTGTTAGCCAGGATGGTCTTGATTTCCTGACCTCGTGATCCACCCGCTTTGGCCTCCCAAAGTGCTGGGATTACGGGCGTGAGCCACCATGCCTTGCCTGTGTGTCTCTTTTTACGCAAGTACCATACCATGCTGTTTGGATTATGACATCTCCATAGTACAATTTGATGCCAGGTAATGTGATTCCTCCAGGTTTGTTCTTTTTTGCTCAACATGGCTTTGGTTATTCTGGGTATTTTGTGGTTTTATATAAATTTTAGGATTGTGCTTTCTATTTCTATGAAGAATATAATTGGGATATTGGTAGGAATTGCATTGAATCTGTGAGTTGCTTTGATTAGTATGGGCATATTATCAATACTGATTCTTCCAATACATCAACATGAAGTATTCTTCCATGTGTTTTATGTCCTCTTCGATTTCTTTCATCAGTGTTTCACAGTTTTCACTACAGACATACTTCACTTCTTTGGTTAATTCTTAGGTATTTTATTTTATTTGTAGCCATTTCAAATGAGATTACTTTCTTGATTTCTTTTTCAGATTGTTTGCTATTGGCATATAAAAATGCTACTGATATCTGTATATTGATTTGTATCCTGCAATTTTACAAATTTCTTTTCTTAGTTCTAATAGTTTTTTTGGTGTAGTCTTCAGGTTTTTCCAAATCTAAGATTATAGTATATGCAAACAAGGATAATTTGACTTCTTCCTTTCCAATTTGGATGCCCTTTATTTCTTTCTTTTGTCTGATTGCTCTAGTTGGGACTTCCCGTTCAATGTTGAGTAACAGTGGTGAAAGTGGGCATCCTTGTCGTGTTTCAGATCTTAGGAGAAAGGCTTTCAGTATTTCTCCATAAAACATGACACACAATGTGGGTCTGACAAGTATGTCTTTTATTGTGTTGAGGTTTGTCCTTTCTACACCAAGTTTGTTGGGATTTTTTATCACAATGAGATGTTAAATTTTATCAAATATATTTTCAGCATTAATTGAAATGATCATATGGTTTTTTTTCTTCATTTGGTTAATATGATGTATCACATTGATTGATTCATGTATGGTGAACCATCCTTGCATCATGGGGATAAATCCCACTTGGTAGTGATGGATGATTTTTGCAATGTGTTTCTGAATTTGGTTTGCTGTTATTTTGTTGAAGATTTTTGCATCAATATTCATCAGGGATATTGGTCTGGTTTTTTGTTTGTTTGTTTTTAATATGTCTTTGTCTGGTTTGGTATCAGGGTAACACTGGCCTCATAGAATGAGTTTGGAAGGATTCTTTCCTTCTCTATTTTTCAGAAAAGTTTGAGTAAGATTATGTATTAGGCTGTTCTTTCATTGCTATAAAGAAATACCTGAGACTGGGTAACTTATAAGAAAAAAGAGGTTTAGTTGGATCACAGTTCTGCAGGCTGCACAGAAAGCATAATGCTGGCATCTTCTTGGCTTCTGGAGAAGTCTGAGAAAACTTACAATCATGGAAAAAGGTGACGTGGGAGAAGAAATTTTACATGTCAAAAGCAGGAACAAGAAAAAGTGGGGAGGTGCCATACACATTAAAACAATCAGATCTTGTGAGAACTCACTCATTATTGTGAGGCCAGTACTAAGGGGATGGTGCCAAGCCATTCATTAATAACCCTGTGCCAGGATACAATCCGTTTCCACCAGGCCCCCTCCAACATTGGGGATTACATTTCAATATGATATTTGGTCAGGAACGCACATCCAAACTATATGATTCTGCCCCTGGCCCCTCCCAAATCTCATATCCTTCTCATATTTCAAAATACAATTATACCTTCACAATAATCCCCCCAAAGTCTTAACTCATTCCAGTATTAACTCAAAAGTCCTAAGTCCAAAGTCTTATCTAAGAAAGGCAAGTACTTTCCACCTTTGAACCTGTAAAATAACAAACAAGTTAGTTACTTCCAAAATACCATGTGAGTATGAGCATTAGGTAAACATTCCCATTCCAAAAGGGATAAATCAGCCAAAAGAAAGGAGCTACAAGCCCCACACAAGTCTGCAATCCAGCATGGCATTCATTAAAACTTTAAGTTTCACAATAATCTCCTTTTGACTCCATGTCCCACATCCAGGGCACACTCATGCAAGGGTGAGCTTTCAAGGCCTTGAGTAGCTCCACCCCCATGGCTTTGCAGTGTTCAGCACTGAGGCTTTGTTAAATGGGTAGCAAGGCCAAGGAAGGTGAAGCAATCTGACCAATAGTACAGAAATGAAACAGAAATTAATTAAATTACTTTTATGTGCTAAACATATATGTACATTGTGGGGAAAAGCATTTATATTTAAAAAGACAGCTAACTGTAATATAATAGCTTTTCATCTCTGAGGGATGATGTAAACCATCTCAGTGGGGACAAATATCTTTATTCTTTTTACTATAGAGTGTTGTGAGGAGAGAAAAAAGACAGAACAGAATGCCTAGTTTCTGCCTATTTTTCTGGGCTACTTAAATTTAGGATCCAGAGTAGATAGGTAGACTTCTGTTTGGAAAAGCACATACATATATGCTTGGAGAAAAAGATAGGCTAGCTGGGAAGAGAGTATGAGGAACAGACAACCAGGTGACATGTTTTGAGTTGGTACTTGAAAAAACATGCTACTGAACAAGTCCATGGATGGGGCCCCTACAGGACTTATCAGTAGCGAGGTCTAATATTCAGTTTTAATTATATATGTTATTGGATTGTAATCATTTTCCTGACCCAAAATTTCAGTACAGTCTTCAACACACATAATTTCCTTTCTTGGGTGAGAGAATTTGGTAAAAATCTAGAAAATGACATTGTGTATTCACACCTGGGTCTGAAAGAAGACAGAGAAGAGAACAACTTTGGAGTAAAGAAGATACTGAAACAAGGAAGTGAGGAGAGATGGCGACTCAGAATCAGTTGTAATTATGGGGAACTAAATCCCTAGGAATTCACAAAATCACAAAATTGTGAGTTAGTGATCTTGAGCAATTTCATTTAAATTTCAAAGGAGAGTGTGATCTCAGTTCCATATACTTATCTCATTTAACACATATGATTATGTGGCAAAGATAGAGTTGCAACTCCCAGGTTTCTTGAGTCTGTCTCTGTTTAGCATTCTTTCCATTATGCAGATGGAGGAAGGTGAAGCAAAACAATCTGGAATTGTTAAGAATTTGGGAGACTATGGTGGATAAGTAAAGAAGAGTGTCCTATCTTTAAACTCTTTTAACAAATGGAGATTTCAATGCTATGCTAAGGAACAAATGGTAGAAATCAGCCCTGGTGCAGACAATATGGGTGTACTTTTCTTCATTCTTGGCAGAGAATATAAAAGCAAAAATAAAACTGACTGAAAGTCAATCTGCTGTTGTTATTATCATGCAAAGGTAAATCTAAACAGTGTCTATGCCAAAGTCATTCTCTGCTGGGTCTAACCTTCCCACAAGTCCCAGGTTTGGTGTGCACTGAAGACACCCGTTTGGGAAAGGCATATAATCACCTTTCTTGCCTGCTAGACTAAGCTCAAGGTGTGGCAAAAAATTTACATGAACCTGGGTATCTGCAAAACTTGGTAAAGCATCTCACTCACCAGAGCCAGGCAGTATCACATAGTGGCAAACTCCTCGTTAAGTATTTCAATTGTTCTTTTGAGGTTCACTGTATCTGTTTGCATACACCCCACTAGATTTTATTATGCATTTACCCTTTGCCAACTTAAAAAATAATCACAGTGTATAAATTTGGGAAGGAGAGAAGATTTTATTTCTTATAAAGGGTTATAGCCTGTAAGGTGGCCATCCCGCAGGTTGGGAAGTACGGCCACCAGACAAGTGCCACCAGGCACTTTAAAGGAAGAGGGATTGTGGTACAGCTTTATGCTGAATAGGTTCGCTAAACATATGTATTCAACAGCCTACAGGAAGAGCTACGAATATGCATGAAAGTGGTCCTGACACACGTGTATCGCAAAAACATGCAGGTAACATAAGACCTATATTCAATTTGAGATGGAAACTTAATATTCAGATGTATTACAATTAGGCCTTATACATCAAAAGGTCCTTTCAGAACACAAAGGCATGTAAGCGTGCAATCTCTGTAAACAAGCTGGAGCCAATCCATGGTCAGTGGTCTTATCTGAGAGAGTTACTAAAATCAGTCTCTTGTTCAATGAAAGCTGTAGTTATAGCTGGTGGAACAGGAGCTAGGGGTCAGTTAGTCAGCATCTGGTGAAGTTACAAGTTGTTTTAATATTGCTTATCTCATGAACAGTGCTTGTTTATCTGGGAGAGAAAAAGAAAAATCTTAACGGCAGTTAGAGCATAGCTTATTCTTTAAATGTATTAATAGAGGTGCATGATGTAGCCCTTGCCTGGCATGGCCTTAGGTCCTGTTTATAAATTGGTATCTTTTACAAAGAGACTGTTCTGTCAGTCTTATGATCTGTATTTTGACATTAATGCTGATCAGTCACTGTATCTAAATCATAAAAGGGAGTGGGGTATAGTGAGGCATGTCTGATCCCCCATACTGTCATGCCTAGGAATTCAATTTTAAGGTTGTCCTGGGGTCCCCTTGGCCACAGGGGTGTTTATTCAGTTGGTGTTGGCCTTAGGATTTTATTTTGAGTTTATACCTTATTATTCTGATCATTCTCATATTCAAATCTAACTCCTCAAGTTATTAATTAACCAGTTAAAATAAAATTATATTAGTCTAAAATGTGATTTCCATGTGAATAAGAATGGTGTATGCTTTGCTTTTGTTCTCTTCAAAATTTTGTATGAAAAAATACATACAGTGAAACATGCATATAAAATATGATGTTTTGAGTGTCTAATTCTTTTGCCCATTTTCTAAAATTGAGTAGTTTTTCTTTCCTACAAAGTTTTAGGAATCATTTGTATATTCTCAATACATCTACTTTGTGACTCCCTCCCTTCCAGGACCACGTCTTCTCTCGAAAGTTGAAATGACTTTGGCAGCCTAAAATCCATCCTTCCATCATTAAACTAGTGAGATCTCAGCTTTCTTTTTAAGTTCTAGCTGCTCTATATCCCTCTGCTGACTGAGGGATTTCCTGGGGGAATAACTTATAAACATGAATCTCTTACTTTCTTTCAAGCCTTCTTCAGTTTCTGTCTGCTTTTGGTCACTCTCCTGCGCTTTCAGATAGCTTCAAATATTTTTTTCCCCCAGATTTATCATTGTTAACAGTATGATGGCTAGTTCAATACATGCTATTTCACCATTAACTGGAACTGAATCATATTCCTGCTTTTGTTATTGTTGTATTCCCAGATGCTGTAATAATCCTTTCTATATTATAGATACTTAATATATATTTTTGAATTATTTTTATTTTATTATTATTTTTTTGAGACAGAGTCTCACTCTGTCACCCAGGCTGGAGTGCAGTGGCACAATCTCGGCTCGCAGCAACCTCCACCTCTTGGGTTCAAGCAATTCTCCTGCCTCAGCCTCCCAAGTAGCTGGGATTACAGGCATGCACCACCAAGCCTGGCTAATTTTTTGTATTTTTAGTAGAGATGGGGTTTCACTACATTGCCCAGGTTGGTCTTGATTTCCTGACCTGAAGTGATTGGCCTGCCTGGCCTCCCAAAGTGTTAGGATTACAGGCGTGAGTCCCTGCACATGGCCAAATTATTTTTGAAGGATTGCTTTTCTTTCTCTCCTGTCCTGAAAGGATTGCGCTTCTTTCTCTCCTGAAATTGCAATCTTTCTTTCTGCTTTACAAAGCAGAGTAAAACCTAAACTATTGTTGTTACAATACCAAACTCATGGCACAACACTGTGTAATTTAGAGTTTTATTATTTAATGTAACTCTTTACTCCCTCTATTTATTATCTCTTATAGTGTAACAGATGGCCCACAATTTGGAAGCTTACTACGACATGATCACAGTGTTGGTGGATCAGGAATACTGGCCCAGCTTAGCTGGGTGCCTCTGACTCAAGGTCTCTCAGGGCATTGCAGTTTCCTTTGAAGTAGAAATTGGGGAACAATTTGCTTTTAAATTCATTCACATTATGGTTGTTGGCAGAATTTCAGTTCTTCTCAGGATACTGGGCTGAGGACCTTATTTCCTCTCTGACTGCTGACCAGAATCCTCTTTCAGATGAAATGTAGACCTTTTCATCATGTACTCCTAACATGGCAGCTGCCTTCCTCAAAAAAGAAGAGAGAGAGAACAAGAGAGAGTGACCAAGATGGCCATCACAGACTTTTTGTAACCTAATCTTGGAAGTGACACCCCATTCCCTCTGCTGCATTATCTTCTCTAGAAGTGAGTCATGAAATCCAACTGAAGGGGAGGGAATTTTACAAAAGCATGAATACGGGAGGCAGAGGATTTTGGAGACCATCTTAGAAACCACCTACAACACTTCTCTTACATGGAGAGATGAATCATTTTAAAAAATACATTTCAAAAATGCATGGATCTCCTATTTTATTTCGGGAACTGCTGTGCTCTAAGGGGTGGAAAGATAAGGGATGAAACTATAAAATGGCTCACTTCTTATCTTCCAGGAACTTATGTTCTGGTTCAGGAGGCAGAACTATTGAAATGTGATCAGTGCTATAAAAGCTGTAGGAGTTGTGGGAGCAGAAAAACTTTTTAAGATGTAAGAAGTGTTACCTTTGTAAGCTAAAAATAAAATTCTAAGCCCTCTAACCATCTGAATGAACCCCTCTTCTAGGCCAAGGCCATTTCAAAGTTAATGTGAGAACCCAGTTCAGGCCGTGATGGGAAGTGGAGGTCATACATACCTCCTTACGCCCTCCTCCCTTTGGAATCAGGCACAACTAACCAACATTAACATTAAAACAGAGGTTTTTAAGACTTTTTGTAGCAAAAAGACACTGAATTCCAGCCTGACTCTGGTATTGTGTTACACAACAGATAGCAGGCTCTGAAAGAAATTGAAGTATTTTACCCTAAAATATATTTCTTTGAAATATTTTGAAATGTCCCTGCAAAGTTGTCCCTTGTGGGGAAAATCTAAATTCTGTACAGAATTTCTTTCCTTTTCCAGTTCTTTTCCCTGATCCAGGAGAGAATTAAAGGAGTCTGGTATCTTTTTTAAGTCTGATAAGAAACATTTACAATCTTTTCTTTCTCAAGCCTGTTACCTGTAAGCTTCATCGGCATAATAAGAACCTTGGTTTCCACAACCCCTTGTCTTAACCCAGACACTCCCTTCTATGGATTCCAGGTCTTTAGATAAACTTTTTCAACCAATTGCCAATTGGAAAATCTCTGAATCCACCTATGACCTGGAAGCCCACACTTTGAGTTGTTTTGTCTTTTCAGACAGAACCAATGTACATCTTACATGTACTGATTGATGTCTTATGTCTCCCTAAAATGTATAAAACTAAGCTGTAGCTAGACCACCTTGGCACATACCATCAGGAACTCCTGAGGGTGTGTCATGGGCATGTCCTTAACCTTGGCAAAATAAACTAAACTGATTAAGACTTGTCTCAGATAATTTTTGGTTTATACCTTCATAAAGGAAGTGAAGCTTGGGCTTGTGTTGAAGAAAAGAATAGGAGAGAAAGCATCTGCCGACATGTACCTGTGAGAACCTTGCAAGAATTACAGACACTTTTAATGACAAAACCAGGCATCTGCATTGGGAGGAGTGGTAAGGAAGAAGGAGGCTGGATAAAGGAGCTAGAAGCCATGCTGGGAGGGTCCTATTAGGCCACACTCAGGACTTTGGAATCTGCAGTACGTGGAGTGGAAACACTGAAGGATATAATCAGTTATGTACAGAATAAAGAATGTTCTGAGCCAAGCTCGGTATGCACTGTTTTACCAATAAACAGATAAAAAAGAAGAGGAATATGTGTCATCTCCCATTTCACAACCCCTAAGACTATGTCAAATGACTAGGTTACAGTCTAGGTGGAAAGCTTTGTGTGAGCTCCTTTACTTCAGGTCAAATTATACATCTCAATGACTGAATACCACATCTCAATAACATGTAATTTCTCACAAGCACCACATTTTGTGAAGTAACTGGAAGAATATGATTCAAGATTGTTTCCAGAGAAGAATGAAAGAAAATAGTAGTGTTCCTGTGTAATGTTAACCATGGGACAGCTCAACCCATAGCTCCTTTATTTAGCTTGGTAAATTAAATGAATCTCTAAATACTTTAATTACTTCCCCCATTGCCTTTCTTCCTCCACAGTGCAAACTCTGTGCCATTCACTTGTTAAAGCCTCTTTTGAAACTCATTTCTCACATTTCCCCAAAGATCCATAAGCTTTCTATATGGAAGTGAAAAGAAGCAGTGAGGCATATAGTCAGTGATACTTAAAACTGGATGAGTCACCCCCAGGGAATGTCTGGGAGGTGTTTGAGGGCTTAAACATGTGCCAGAGCCCACAGTCTTACAAGTATTCAAGCAGACCAGATTCTGACTGAATAATGCCATAATTTCTAAGATTCTAAATTCTAAGATTCTTTCCAGTGTCATATTGTCAGATACCTGAGAACCCAATTGACTTACTAATATTTATAAACATACACCATCATCAAAGGGAAAATATCTGGCTAAATCTGGGAGATGACATTGCGCTTGCAGAATTGTATGACCTATAATCATATAGTACTCTTCTGAGCAATGAAGGATTAAACAATTTGCAGGTGCTATGTCTCCATGTACACTAAGTCTTGCTCTAATATTCTTCAGAAAAACCAGGACCACTCAGTCAAGGCTATAAGTGATATCTGGGTTACCTATATAGAGAGACATTATGTCTCCTTTCAAAAATTACAATTTTCTATATGAAATTTTAACTTCAGAAACAGGTAGGAAAACTGTAATTATCATCAAAAACTTTATTTCATACATTTATCTACAAAAAGATACTTTCTTTTCCTTCTTAATTTATATCCAGTCCAGCAGGAAATTCAGATATCAGAAGCAAAATGACATTCATTTTATTACCCACATCTTCTTAGCTGGGATCATGTAGGGCTTTACAATTATCATTTAATTATGACCAAAGAAAGGCACACTTTTGGGAAGATTAAAGGTTCTGGCATGGTACTTTAGAGAAGGTGATTATCAGGGAAACTTAGCAAGTATATATTAGAGACAAATTTGATTGATGACAGATATAGAAAATGAATGACACAGGATGAAATGAAAGACCACTGAATTAGAGAAGGCATTCTATAGTCCATGGTGTTATATATTGTCAGGCTGAGAGATGTTTTTAAGATGAAACATGAGCACTTTGTCTTCAAATATAAGTTATATTAGTCTGTTTTCACTCTGCTGATAAAGACATACCCGAGACTGTGGAATTTACAAAAGAAAGAGATTTAATTGGACTTACAGTTCCACATGGCTGGGGAGGCCTCACAATCATGGCAGAAGGCAAGGAGGAGCAAGTCACATCTTACTCGGATGGCAGCAAGCAAAAAACCAGAGCTTGTGCAGAGAAACTCCCGTTTTTTAAAACCATCAGATCTTGTGAGACCCATTTACTATCACGAGAACAGCACAGGAAAGACCTGACGCCATGATTCAATGATATCCCACCAGGTCCCTCCCACAACACGTGGGAATTATGGGAGCTAAAAGATGAGATTTGGGAGGGGACACAGAGCCAAGCCATATCATTCTGCTCCTCACCCCTCCCAAATCTCATATTTTTACATTTCAAAATTAATCATGCTTTCCCAACAGTGCCCCAAAGTCTCAGCTGATTTCAGCATAAACTCAAAAATTCACAGTCCAAAGTCTTATCTGAGACAAGGCAAGTCTCTTCTGCCTATGAGCCTGTAAAATCAAAAGCAAGTTAGTTACTTCCTAGATACAATGGGGGTACAGGCACTGGGCAAATACAACCATTCCAAATGTGAGAAAATGGCTAAAACGAAGGAGTTACAGGCCCCATGCAAGTCCAAAATGTAGCAGTGCAGTCAAATCTTAAAGCTCCAAAATGATCTCCTTTGACTCCAGGTATCACATCCAGGTCATGCTGATGCAAGAGATGGGTTCCCACGATCTTGAGCAGCTCTGTCCCTGTGGCTGTGCAGGGTACAGTCTCCCACCCAGTTGCCTTCATGGCTGGCATTGAGTATCTGTGGCTTTTCCAGGTGCACAGTGCAAGCTGTCAGTGCATCTACCATTCTGGGGTCTGGAGGATGGTGGCCATTATCTCACAGCTCTACTAAGCAGTCCTCCAGCAGGAACTCTGTGTGTGGGCTCCCACCTCACTTTTCCCTTCTGCACTGCTCTAGCAGAGGTTCTCCATGAGGGCTCCACCCCTGCAGCAAACACTGCATGGGTATCCAGGTATTTCCATACATCTTTTGAAATCTAGGCAGAGGTTCCCAAACCTCAACTTTT
Source organism: Homo sapiens (assembly GCF_000001405.40). Classification (NCBI taxonomy): domain Eukaryota; kingdom Metazoa; phylum Chordata; class Mammalia; order Primates; family Hominidae; genus Homo; species Homo sapiens. The sequence goes on along the minus strand of NC_000003.12, from coordinate 110,524,907 downwards.
GACTTCTGTGCACTTGCAGGCTCAACACCATATGAAAGCTACCAAGGCTTGAGGGTTACACCCTCTGAAGCAACAGTCCAAGCTCTATGTTGGCCCCTTTGAACCACAGCTGGAGTGGCTGGGATGCAGGGCACCAAGTCCCTAGGCTGCACACAGCAGGGGATCCTGGACCCAGCTCATGGAATCACTTTTTTCTCCTAGGCCTCTGGGCCTGTGATGGGAGGGGCTGCCATGCAAACCTCTGACATGCCCTGGAAACATTTTCCTCATTGTCTTGAGGACTAACATTTGGCTTTTCGTTACTTATGCAAATTTCTGTAGGCAGCTTGAATTTCTCCTCAGAAAATGGAATTTTCTTTTCTATTGCATTATCAGGTTGCAAACTTTCTGAACTTTTATGCTCCAATAAAACTGAATGCCTTTAACAGCATCTAAGTCACATCTTGAATGCCTTGCTGCTTAGAAATTTCTTCTGCCAGATACCGTAAATCATCTCTCTCAAGTTAAAAGTTTCACAAATCTCTAGGCCAGGGGCAAAATGCCACCAGTCTCTTTGCTAAAACATAACAAGAGTCACTTTTGCTCCAGTTGCCAGCAAGTTCCTCATCTCTATCTAAGACCACTTCAGCCTGGACCTTATTGTTCATATCACTATCAGCATTTTTGTCAAAGCCATTTAACAAGTCTCTAGAAAGTTCTGAACTTTCCCACATTTTTCTGTCTTCTTCTGAGCCCTCCCAACTGTTCCAACTTCTGCCTGTTACCCAGTTCCAAAATCGCTTCCACATTTTCGGGTATCTTTTTAGCAATGCCTCACTCTACTGGTACTAATTTGCTGTGTTAGTTCGTTTTCACACACCTGATAAAGACATACCAGAGACTGGGCAATTTGCAAAAGAAAAAGGTTTAATGGACTTACAGTTCCACATGGCTGGGGAGGCAAGAAGGAGCAAGTCACATCTTATGTGGATGGCAAAAAAAAAAAAAGCTTGTGCAGAGAAACTTCTGTTTTTTAAAACCATCAGATCTTGTGAGACCCGTTCACTATCACGAGACCAGCACGGGAACGACCCGCCCCCATGATTCAATCATCTCCCATCAGATGCCTCCCACAACACATAGGATTTATAGGAGCAACAATTTGATATTTGCGTGGAGACACAGAGATAAACCATGCCATAAGTTAATGAAGGAACTACCAGAGTTCTAAAATTATAAACCTAGATTTTCCTAAGAAAATAGAGTGAATTACAAGACTTACAAAATATCAATAAGATTTTTCTATTTTGGAAAATTATTAACACCTCAAATTCATGTGGCCATATCATAGTGAAGAAGTAGAAGTATATTTGGAAACAGGAATAGACAACTCAACCCAATTTTCATTATAAGGACTTCATCAATTTAACATATTATTGCTGAATATTTTACTCTCAAGACTTTTTTCACATGGAAATTAACTGGATTTTGTCCTCAGATTCTTACATCACGAGTATATCATTAATACCTTAAAAATAGGTATAGAGTACATATGACTAGCTGGAATATAATATTAAATTCATCTTAAGTGTGATTTTAGAGTACAATATGTTTTGCTCCCAAACAAAAATAAGAAGTAGAAACCAGGACCAATTAGGTATATATTTTTTTTCTTACTCATGTATTTCAATATTTACCAGAAATCCATTACATTCAAGGTACTGTGCCAGCCTTTGTATTCACAAAGAAAAAAAAAAGAAAACTGACCTATAAACATGTATAATAAGACGTGGTAGAATAAGGACAAACAAATCCCAGGTTGAGTCTCCTTTCCTCCAGTGATGGGGTAACTCTGAATGCCACCACTAAAGGAAGTAGAAATAAGCTGATTCTTCCAAGTCAAAAGTTGTGAGACTTTGGATGCTCCACTTTCACATTCCTCTTGTTCTCTCTAGCTATAGGGTTTCTTAGCTCCACACATACTCAGTCATTCAATTAGTTATTACCAACAGTGCTAAAAATATTACTTCTCATTAAATGGACCTGTCACTTCATTTAAACTCCTTTGTGCATTTAGATTTAAATAATGATATCCAGTATTACTTCCTTATTTACCACTTTATTTCTCTGCCCTGACTTTGGCCCAAATAAGCGCTTCTTAGCTCTTCAAAGCTGGAATGGCAAAAATTTCCAAATTTTTCCATTAAAATAAGAATATAATTTAGATAATTTAAGAGGTTCTCTATTTCTCCCTTACTAGTCCCCTCCCAGGACTCTCCTTTTCACCCAATCTATCCCGTATCCCACAGGTGATCCACTTCACCTTCATGCTGTGTATTCCCTCCCGTCCTGGGCAATTCTTGTTTGGGGTTTCCCATGTAATTGCAGTCAAATGGATAGTAGCTGGGGCTAGAGTCATCTGAAGTTTCTTCATGTACATATCTGACACATGGCCTGAGAGCCTAGAGCTCTGAAAGTTGGTTTGCTTTCTCTCTCCATGTGACCCCATGGCTAGCTTAGGCTTCCTGACAGTATGGCAGTCCTAAACTGAGTGTGACTTTTTTACATGTGACTGAATTTCCCAGAAGAAGCATTCCAAGAGTCCCAGATAAAAGATGCAATTCTTTTTGTGACCTAACCTCAGAAGCTCCAGAACATCATTTCTGCATTCTGCTACTTGAGTAATTCCTAGGGCCAGCTGACATTCAACTAGAAGAGTGACTTGATCTCTCAATAGAAGCAGTAGCCAAGATTCCATGACTGCCTTTAATCTACCCTATGCTATTTGTTTAACTAAGGCCCCATATTTGTAGGGCTTATTAATGTTTTTAAAATAATGAAGACACAGAGGCTTGGAGCAAATGACTTACTACCAAGGTTTTTCGGTAAATTGGTGTCAGAGCAGTGAAAACAATTGTATACAGAGCTCTTCATTCTTTAAGTATCCGACTCTCTACTTGCTGAAGGGTTTTTAAGTGAATAATCTATCCTGTATGTTAAAATCCATCAGAATGACATCTTAAAGATTCTTGTTTATGTGCGTTAGCAGCTTTTGTGCAAATAAAATCTTTTCTCAATTTAATGCTTTTTTTTTCTGTCACCATATTTCCTAATGTTTTAGTCTCTGATGTTCTAGACACATGCTACAAAAAGCTACTGGACTGATCATTTTTTCCATGATGATTTTATCCTACTGATTCTACAGATTGAAATAGCTATTTTCCCTTATCCTTTGAAAATTAACCTCTCATGTCAAGTAGATATTATGAAGTTTTGGCTAGTTAATGTATTTTACTCATGAAAATCTACTTAATTCTCAATAAGCACAAGTTGAAATTTTAGAACTTTTGGCTCCATACATTTCTTTTAAACAACTGGTTTTGGGGAAAACAAAGAGAAGAAGGATATTTTCTACAATCTTATTTATGTGAACATCTTGGGGAATTAAGCTGCTTTCTTTGGGCCTCCTCCTAGTTTTCTATTCAGTTTCTCTTCTCATCCCAATCTATTCTTTTACTTTAAGTTTTTTTCTGAGTGTGTTCTGCCACTTTAGTTCTCTGTGAGGTTTCTTATTTTGTTTATAGATAAAAAATTGGTGCTTTTTTTCAGTTGCCAGTAAATGTTTGTGTAGAATTGCCTAGTTAGCCTCTGATGATGATGGTGTGAGTCAGCCCTTTTCCTATGTTTCCGTAGTTTCCGCTGCAATGTGCAAAGGCACCCTGTTTCATCTTATCTAGCTTTGGCATGAGTACATATTGTGTGCATGTGCATATGCACATGAAATGCCTTTGCCTGCCAAGTGAAAATGCACAGTACCTTTCCCAGAAACTGCAATCCAATAGAAACAAAATACCAAACTCTGAAGCAAAGTTAGGACTTGTTTGTTGAAAATAACTTTACAGAAATAAAATAATTAAACATATATTATATGATATCAATTTCTTAGTTACAAAACAATTCAAATAGGCCATTTACTGTCACTCCAATTTCAGAGTCAGAGAGGTTAAAGACTTGTCTGTTTATGGCAATAATTATGAAATGTATGACCAAAACTATTTTGAGACAGTTAAAAGTATTCTTAGGAATTGGGAATGCATCTATGAAATGAGAATTAAATTATGAAGGAATTTTTTTAAAGTAACCAGAACTGTATATATTTGCCTCACTTGAAAAAGTGATTAGTAAGTCCAATAAAGATGATAGAATGTCAATTTTAAAGTAGCGTGTCCTTAAGAAGAATGTACTTCTGAGGGACGATGCCTGCATGGCGTATGGAAAGTGGGCATTCTGAAGGCAAACATTTCCTAGTACATTCTAGCTTACTGACTAACACTATATGGGCTGCTGGGCAGGTAGACGTCTAAGCGGAGACCAGAGCATCCACCTTTCTGTGTCAGAAGACACAAGTCGAACATCACCCACAGAACTGGCCTCGCTCACAAAACAATTTTCTAATTAAAATTTTATAATATTTCGTGTTAATTTTCGTATAGGTGAGAATTAACTGACTCACTGATTAGTCTTTCTATAGTTTCATTTCTCATTTAAAATTAATATATTGCCAAGTGTGGTGGCTCATGGCTCTAATCCTAGAAGCCTGGGAGGCTGAAGTGGGAGGATCACTTGAGACTAGGAGTTTGAGACCAGCCTGGGCAACATAGTGAGACACAATCTCTAAAGTAAAAATAAATAAATAAATAAAAATAGCTGGGTGTGGTGGCATGTGCCTGCAGTTCCAGCTAGTTTAGCTGCTGAGGTGGAAAGATTATTTGAGCCCAGGAGTTGGAGGCTGTAGGGAGCCATGATCCTGGCACTGAACTCTAGCCCGGAAAACAGAACCAGACCCTGAGTATAAAAAATTTATTGTATTACCAATATAGTCAAGTGTATTGTGAGATAGTTGCCTGATTCTGATCACCTTTGTGTTTACTGGCAAAACCAAATTTCTGAACCTGTGAAAATGTAGACTAGACTCTAGACTCCTGTTTTTTCAACTGTTCTAATGGCCATCATTATTAAAATCACTGGATGGTTTTTAAAAAGATTACTTAAGTCCTTCTGTGATGTACTGAATGCAATTCTCTTCTGGAAGAGGCTGACATCTACTTTTTAAGTAATTTCCCATGATAATTATTATATAAAGAAAAGAGGGAGAGTGATTATATGCTGTTATGTTAACTTCTCAATGGAAAATGGAAAAATATGCAGTAATCGTTTGCTATGTGCCAGGCATTAGAATAGATGCTTGGGGACACATGGTTGGATGAGGCAGAGATCCATTTTCAAGGAAGACATCATGAAGATAACAGGCCAATAGTCAACTATCTAAAATACATTTGAGTGCCTTTTAAAATAAAGTTCTATCAAAAGATAGAAAAAAAAAGAGCAAGTAACTTTAAGGACTTTCTAGGGACAATAATATAGAAAGTTCAGAGTCATAGTCTTAAGAAATAGCCAGATTTGAAGCATCACAGGTAATGAAAAGACAATTCTGCCACTAATGTGGGAAGAAAAATCTCAAGAAGGCAAACTATACAGAGGTTTAATGAGTTTCATTAACAAAATTAGGGGCAGAGTGGAAGAAGAGGATTTAACTGAGTTTTAAATCAGAGGAATGAAGCATTGGCTGCTGACCATGGGGAGTTGCCAGAATTAACCGGAAATTTTCCACTTGCTCATGTCCAACATCCCTGCCTACCCCAATGTGGGAATGGTTTTAGCATATAAAATGGTGTAAAGCTGTAAAAGTGATATTGTAGTTTAGTAAAATGTTCTTATGATTTTTATACATACCCAGTTTCCCCTTTGTGATCTATTGATGAAGAAAATAGTAGGTTTGCTTCATATTTAGGCTGCCAATACTGTAAACTATTAGACTCAGTTTCCAGATACGTATAGTATATGAAGAATGGCATAATCACACAGTAGAAAATACACACTATGAGTAGCAAAATCAGACTATACTTTGTATTTTTTGTTCTGAATGAGAAAATCTAGGAAATAGTCTTTTTAGTCTTGTATTCTGCATCAAGCATGCTTAGAAAGGTTTATCTACCTATACAAGAACCATGGTCATCATCTGTTATTAATGTGAAGGTAGTCAACTGAATTGTGGATCAGTGCCTAGCAGTAAATTAATTTTTCCTTAAAGTAGCATTGTAGTTGCACAAATTCATGAGGTGAAAATAAATCCTACAGCAACACAGTGCAAAAAAAGAAAAAAAGAAGGAAGAACAAGATTTTAAAAATCTGAGTAATCCCTGATGAAATAATGGAATAAAAATACAATATCTTTAAAAAATGTAAATTTGGCCAATAAAATTTAGGCATGGACATGCCAATGATAGCTAGTACTATGTAGTACTTATATACCAGCAATTGTCCTAAATTTTTTACATGTATTAATCTACTTAATTCTCACAATATCCTTATTATTACCACTATTACTGTCTTCATTATAAATATTGGGACAATTAAGGCATCAAGGTTAAGTAATTTGTGTAAGATCACTTGGTGGCAAACATACTATTCACTCTCCCAACTGTATAATAGCATCCTAAACTTCCAAACATTGATTTTTCACCTTTGCCTGTTGGTGTCTTGGCACAAGGAGTCTGAAGTTAACTGGCAGGCACCTGTAGCCTGAGGCTTAATAGGACCATAAGGACATCCCATAGAATATCACACTTAGTCACTACTTACTACATCAATGACATCATGTTAATTGAAGTGAATGAGCTAAAAGTGGCAAGTATGCAGTTTTCAAATCCTGTGAATGCTGCATTTTTTATCCCCTTTTGGTTAAAAAACATCTACATATAACAGAACCATACAGTTCCAGTGCATGTTGTTCAAGGGTCAACTGTATGCTGAAGCTCTCTAGCTGCAACGAATGGGTCATTAAGATCATCTGTCTTTCACATTTAATCCTTAATTGGTGATTAATCACCTTTTAGTCTTCCATTGTCTTTTTTCAAATCATCAATTGCCCCAACATCAGTCTTTAAAAGTCATAATCCTTATCATAATAATTCCCGTATATTTCTCAATTGCTTTTTATATTGCATCTACCATGCATTTCTTTTTACCAGTACCATCTCAATTCACAACAAGTAGAAATTGTAACAATAGTACTATTATCACCTGTAAAGGATTTTATCTGTGCATTTACTACTAGTGATGGGATTCTCCTTGCCAGCTAGCCAGCAGGTGATCCAGTTTTAAAATTCCATTTTTGAGTTGTTTTCTCAGACCACTTTTAGCAACAACTGTTTCAGATTGGATTTCCCAGAAAGCAGTTTCTGAGATTAAAAATGTCCATGGAAAATGTTTACTAGGAATTTCTCCCAGAATCAATATCTAGGAATGGTGGAAGTGAAGAAAGCAGGATCTGGCAGAGGTAGAGATTTAACTACAGGGAAGTTATGTTAGAGGCCCTAACCAATCTGACAGGAAGTGCTGGTGTTGGGATGACCCTTAAAAATGGTCTGAGATAGATACAAGGGTCTTTATATTCTCATATAAACCAGTCATTGGATACGCGTGGCTTTAGGAAACAGGGCATGACTTTGAGTAAGTACTGGAAATGTACTCACCCGAGAACACTTAGCTGCCAACATGCTGAGAAACTGGGGGATTAAGTGTCACAGATCTGGATGAGAGATCGAAGTGGTACATAGCAGTATCCATTGAAATTATTTTGGCTATAGACTAGAGCATCAGTTGAATGATTCATGGAGAACTTTCCACAGTAAATAGAGATAGTCGTCTTGGTTATGGATTGAGATAATAACAGAAAATAGAAATGTCTCCTTATTAAGCCAATGATGGTTCAGTAAGAACACATGAGCAGGATGCTTATAGAGCAGGAGAAAAAATCATTAGTGAGTTCATTAAGTAAAGGCATTGTGGTGAGAAGGAGCAGTTGAAGAATAGGGATATATTATGACTTAGGAATTCCTAATTGTGTGACTTTGAGCAAACGGCTTAAGCAGTCTAAACCTCAGTTTGATAAACTATAAAATGGGGAAAATAAGCTGGGTGTGGCAGCTCAGGCCTGTAATGCCAGCACTTTGGGAAGCCAATGTGGGTGGGTGGATTGCTGGAGCTCAGGGATTCAAGACCAGGCTGGGCAACATGGGGAATCCCTGTGTCTACACAGAATTAAAAAATTAGCTGGGTGTGGTGGTGAATGCCTGAAGTCCCAGCTACTCAGAAGGCTAAGGTGGGAGGATCGCTTGAGCCTGGGAGGCAGAGGGTGCAGTGAGCCGAGATCATTCCACTGCACTCCAGCCTGGGCGACAGAGTGAGACGCTGTCTCAAAAAAAAAAAGTGGGGGGGGATAATAATCTCTTTGTTGTACGGTTGTTCCAGAGCACCTAGTTATGGCTATCATATATTATAAGTTCAACAAGTGTCCTTTTTTCAGAAGAGGGTGATAATTTATTCTCACCAATATCCTTGTAGACTTGGGAATAAATATATTTGTTAATACTTAAATCATTAAAAATAACTAGTTCAAGAGAAGGTAATGGAATATGACAACAGTAGTATTCTTCTCTGGGTTTTATATAGTGTTTATTCAAAAGCCTGAAATGTCTATTAATAGTTCTAGAAGTGACAGAAAGCTTAAATACAGTATTGTTATAATTTTATATAACAATTAGAGAATTAAAATTTCATTTTATTTTCCCAGTGGGATTGTGCCAAGCCCTTCCTAGATGGAAATTCCGGTGCTCCTTCTGAGCATATCCAATGTTTGGTTTCCCCATATTGGTCCTTTTTCTCTTTCTTACCCTTTCTTCACTCCTCTTTCTCTCTCCTTTCATTTCTGTTTCTCTCTATTTTCCTTTTATTTATTATCAAGTTGATTGTTTTTTTCCATCTTTATCTACATCATTTTGATGTATACTGTTCTTTTTTACTACATCACTTTTCTTGTATACTGTTACTGTGAATGCAAAGTAACACAGTCATTATGAAAAACAGTACAGAGGTCCCTCAAAAAACTAAAACTAGAGATACCATATGATACAGCAATCTCACTGCCAGGAATATATCAAAAAGAAAGAAAATCAGTACATGGAAGAGACATCTGCATTCCCATGTTTATTACATAATCATCCCATGTTATTATTCACAATAGCCAAGATATGGAATAAACCTAAATATACATCAAAGGATGAATGGATAAAGAATGTGTGGTACATATACACAATGGAATACTACTTAGCTATAAAAAAGAATGAAATGTCATTTGCAGTGGCATGGATGGAACTGGAGGAAACTGTGCTAAGGGAAGTAAGCCAGGCACAGAAAGACAAAGCTTGTATGTTCTCACTCATATGTGGGAGTTAAAATAATGGGTCTTATGGAGGTAGAGACTAGTATGGTGATTACTAGAGTCTGGGAAGGGAAAGGAGGAAGGGGGATGGAGAGAAGTAGATTAATGGGCACTAGAATGCAGTTAGATAGAATAAGTTCTAGTATTTTACAGTACACTAGAAAAATTATAGTTAATAATTTATTGTGTGATTCAAAATATCTAGAAGAATTGTAATGTACCCAACACACAAAAGAAGATAAGTGTTAAAGATGATGGATATCCCAATTTACTCTGATTTGTTCGTCACATTGTGTACATGTAGCAAAATATCACATGTATGCCGAAAATTTGTACAACTATATCAATTAAAAATATAATAAGAAACTCCCAACTATAACAAAATGATCCTTTCTTCTTTTCTGATCATAAAAGTAATATATGCTTATTGAAGTATACAAACAAAAATTATATCTATCACCAAGAAATGACCACTATTAAACACTTAAGAGTATTTTTTCCAATGCTTGTTCTCTTCCATTTCCATATTGCTTTATCCATATATTTTTAAATATTTACATACTTATATATAAGAACATATATAAGAACATTTTAAAAACAATTTTATACCAGCTTTCCTTCTCTTCAGGGTATTTTTAATATCATTATTCCTTGAAAACATGATTTGTAAAATGTGTATAATATTTTAAGTGTACAATGCAAATTATTTAGCCTAATTTTGGATATAGGCATTATTTCTAGTTTCTTTTTTTCTTTTCCTTTTCCTTTTTTTTTTTTTTTTTGTCAAGACAGAGTCTTGCTTTGTCACCCAGGCTGCAGTGTAGTGGCATGATCTCAGCTTACTGCAACCTCCGCCTCCTAGGTTCAAGCAATTCTCCTGCCTCAGCCTCCAGAGTAGCTGGGATTACAGGTGCCCACCATCATGCCCAGCTAATTTTTGTATTCTTGGTAAAGACATGGTTTCACCATGTTGACCAGGCTGGTCTCAAACTCTTGACCTCATGATCTGCCCGCCTCGGACTCCCAAAGGGCTGGGATTACAGGTGTGAGCCACTGTACCAGGCCTTTGTTTTCTATTATAAATAAAGCCTTGAACATCCTCAAGTGTAAGTAACTTATGCATCTTTTTAAGTCTTGAAACTGAGTTAAAGGATAGAAAGATTTTTAATATTCTTGAAACATTTAAAATAGCTTTGTAAATGTGTGCAGCAATTTATGCCTTAAAAAAATTAACAGCTGTAACACAAAGGACAAATGCTTGAGAGGATGGATACTCCATCCCCATGATGTGATCATTATGCATTGCATGTCTGTATCTGAACATCTCATGTACTCCATAAATATATACACCTATGATGTACCCACACAAATTAAAAATTAAAAAAATTAAAAAGATTAACAATTTCTTACTGATAATGTGTGTTTCCAATTTATTTAAAAGGAGACCATATATTTATTAGCTTTTTTATTTGTTTTTGATGAGAATCAAATTCATAATTTATAGCTTTTCTATTAGGAGGAATTCTATTTACATTTTTATTTCTATTTTATATTTAGTGTGATTATTCAATCTTAGCACATAAAATAACCTATTTTTAAGCTTGTGTTCTCATTGCTATTATAAAAATTAAATTATTATTGCTTTTCTTTTTTTTGTGAACTCTCATAGTGTTTCATGAATATAAGTAACACTGAGCTAAGCCTGATGAGAGATGAATAAAATTTTATTTTAGATAGACCAATATAGTCATTTTAAAACTAATGACAGGTTGAAGTATCAAAGGTGGATTTTATCAGATATCTTCACTACAGATTACTTACCAAACTCAAGGATAGCTTGAATATTTGTATGCTTTCCACAAATGGTGCCCAGTATAAAATTATTTTTCTAATGCAATGTATAAGCTGATGTGGTATAAACTTTGTCAGACAATATAAAATAATCAATTTGCCTGACACCATCAGAAATAAAAAGAAATGTATGCTTCTTCCCTTTTCTCTTTACATAAAGAGCAGGAATTAGTTTGTCATACCTAGAATAATCTCCTGGTGAGGCTTTGTGAGGTGCCAATGTTCTAGCCTCTGCCCAACTTACAAGTCTGAAACCTCAAAGGACATTTGGTCTTATTAAAGAAATAAAAGAGTAAGAATGGATCACAAGGATTATATGCAGGGCTCAGTTTGGAAAAATATCTGAAAATTGCCAGGAGGTAAATTGAAAGATGAAAGTGCATGGAGTAGTGAGAGGAGAGAGATTTTTATTAAAAAAAAAAAAAAAAAAAGAAGAAGAAGAAGAGAAAGAAAAGAGGAATAGAGTCTTTGTGTGTTCAGCGGGGAGCATTTATAAAAACAAGGTTTAAGGAGTTTAAACATAGCTCCTGAGGCAAATAAGCATCATGGCAAATGGGAGGCAGGACCAGATTGCAGCTCTGACTTGGACAGACAGAGCAGCATGTGGAGGCTTGCATCGTGAATTTTAACACCAGAACGACTACAGGAATAAATCAGGAAATCTGAGAGGACCCACAGATCCTCTGAAGGAAGTGGATTGCTCCTGCAGGACCTGGGAGACACCCCAAATACTGTGAGTGCCCAAACTGTGAAAGTGGGAAAAGGAGGGCCTCTGCCCCCCCGAACACACACCCGCACTGGAGAAACTGAAGGTCTAGGTTAAAAGAGAAGATTCCAACCTTACCTGAAACTGAGTTAATTTAGAGAACTGAGCAAAATACAGGGGTAGAGGAAGCAGTGGGAAAGGTGCTGTGAGCTAGCTGGGTCCTCAAGCAGGCCATTTCTACCTGACATCACAGGGATCCTTCGGGGGCAGGGGGCAGCCAGAGGCATGGGGGGAAATGCCACAGAGAGAAGGAAATCTCCAGCTGAACTTTGTAACAATTTGAACTGGTCAAGAAACCTCCTGGCCAGAACTCAGGGGAGGGCACAAATCTGGCGTGCAGACTCCACAGGCAGAGGAAGAACTAAACCCTACTTTCTTTCACAGCCTGGGACAAGTTCTCAGCCTTGCTTGCCCACTTCCTGAAAACAGAAGGTAGGCCATGGTCAGAATGAGACTGGCCCTTTTGATTGTGTAGGAACAAGGTGAGGTCTGTGACTGCTGGGTTTCCCCTACTTTGCTGACAACCTACCTGACTCAACAGAGCCAGCCATAATTCTAGTTACATAATTCCATTGACCTAGGAACTGCAACCCCATTTCCAACAGCAGCCACAACGAGACCTGCCCAAGAAGAGTCTGAGCTCAGGCACACCTAGCCCTGCCCCCACCTGATGGTCCTTCTCTACCCACCCTAGTAACTGAACAGAAAGGGCATATATCTTGGGAGTTCGAGGGCCCTGCCCACCGTCGGTTCCTCTCCATACTACCATAGCTTATGCTCTCTGAAAAGTGCCACCTCCCAGCAGGAGGCCAACCAGCACAAAAATAGAGCATTAAACCACCAAAGCTAGGAACCCTACAGAGTCCATTTCACCCCTCTGCTACCTCCATCAGAACAAGCGCTGGTATCCATGGCTGAGATACCCCATAGATGGTTCACAGCACAGGACTCTGTGCAGACAACCCCCAGTACCAGCCCGGAGCCGTGTAGACACTCTGGGTGGCTAGACCCAGAGGAAATACAACAATCACTGCAGTTCTGCCCACAGATAGCCACATCCATAGGAAAATGGGAGAGTCTACATCAAGGGAACACCCCATGGGACAAAAGAATCTGAACAGCAGCCTTCAGCCCTAGACCTTCCGTCTGACAGAGCCTACCTAAATGAGAAGGAACCAGAAAACCAACCCTGGTAATATGACAAAACAAGCCTCTTCAACACCCTGCAAAAATCACACTAGTTCAACAGCAATGGATCCAAACCAAGAAGAAATCCCTGATTTGCCTGAAAAAGAATTCAGGGGGTTAGTTATTAGGCTAATCAGGGAGGCACCAGAGAAAGGCAAAGCCAAATGCAAGGAAATCTAAAAAATGACACAAGAAGTGAAGAAAGAAATATTCATGGAAATAGCTAGCTTAAAGAAAAGCAGTTAAAAATTCAGGAAACTTTGGAATACTTTCAGAAATGCTAAATGCTCTGAAAAGTCTCAGTAATAGAATTGAACAAGTAGAAGCAAGAAATTCAGAGCTCGAAGACAAAGTCTTAGAATTAACCCAATCCAACAAAGACAAAGAAAAGAATAAGAAAATATGAACAAAGCCTTCAAGAAGTCTGGGATATGAATAATCGGTGTACCTGAGGAAGAAAATTCTGAAAGCCTGGAAAACATATTTGGGGGAATAATCGAGGAAAACTTCCTCAGTCTTGAGAGAGCCCCACACATGCAAATATAAGAAGCACAAAGAACACATGGGAAATTCATCACAAAACGATCTTCACGTAGGCACATTGTCATCGGGTTATCCAAAGTTAAGACAAAGGAAAGAATCTTAAGAGCTGTGAGACAGAAGCTTTTTTAATAAGTGAGAACTTATTAAAAAAACTTCTCAGATTAACAGCAGATTTCTCAGCAGAAACTCTATAAGCTAGAAGGTATTGCAGCCCTGTCTTCAGCCTCCTCAAACAAAACAATTATCGCCAAGAATTCTGTATCCAGAGAAACTAAGCATAATACATGAAGGAAAGATATAATCTTTTTCAGACAAACGAATGCTGAAAGAATTTGCCACTACCAAGCCACCACTACAAGAACTGCTAAAAGGGGCTCTAAGTCTTGAAACAAATCCTGGAAATACAACAAAACACTATCTCTTTAAAACATAAATCTCACAGGATATATAAGACAAAAATACTAGTTAAAAAGCAAAAAAACAAAACAAAACAAAAAACAAAGAAAACCCAAAGTACACAGGAAAGAGAATGATGAATTCAATGGTACCCCACATTTCAATATTAGCATAGAATGTAAATGGCCTAAATGCTCCACTTAAAAGATACAGAACTGCAGAATGGATAAGAACTCACCAACCACCCACCTGCTAGCATTTCATGCAAATGGACATCAAAAGTGAGCAGGAGTAGCTCTTCTTATATTAGAGAAAATGAACTTTAAAGCAACAGCAGTTAAGGAAGACAAAGAGGGACATTTTATAATGGTAAAAGGACTTGTCCAACAGGAAAATATCACAATCCTAAACATATATGCACCTAACATTGGAGCTCCCAAATTTATAAAACAATTACTAATAGACCTAAGAAGTGAAGTAGAGAGCAACACTTCAATACTCCACTGATAGCACTAGGCAGGTTATCAAGACAGAAAGTCAACAAAGAAAAAATGGATTTAAACTATACCTAGGAACAAATGGACTTAATAGGTACAGGCAGAACATTCCATCCAACAACCACAGAATACACATTCTATTCAACAGTGCATAGAACTTTCTCAAAGATAGACCACACGATTGGCCACAAAATGAGCTTCAATAAATTTAAGAAATTTGAAATTATATCAAGCATTCTCTCAGACAACAGTGTAATAAAACTGGAAATCAATTCTAAAAGGAAACTTCAAAACCATGCAAATACATGAAAATTAAATAGCCTGCTCCTGAATGATCATGGGGTCAAAAACGAAATCAAGATAAAAATTAAAAAATTATTTGAACTGGATGACAATAGAGACACAGCCTACCAAAACCTCTGGGATACAGCTAAGAGGTAAGTTCATAGCCCTAAATGCTTACATGAAAAAGACTGAAAGAGCACAAACTGACAATCTAAAGTCACATCTCAAGGAACCAGGGAAACAAGAATAAACCAAACCCAAACCCAGCAGAAGAAAGGAAATAACCAAGATCAGAGAAGAACTAAATAAAAGTGAAACAATGAAAAACACAAAAGATAAATGAAACAAAAAGCTGTTTTGTTTTGAAAAGATAAATAAAATTGATAGACCACTGGCAAGATTAACCAAGAAAAAGAGAGAAAATCCAAATAATCTCAATAAGAAATGAAATAGGAGATATTACAACTGATGCTACAGAAATACAAAAGATCATTCAAGCTTACTATGAACACCTTTACATGAATAAACTAGAAAACCTAGAAGAGATGGATAAATTCCTGGAAATATACAACCCTCCTTAAATCAGGAAGAATTAGATACCCTGAACAAGCTAATAACAAGCAGCAAGATTGAAACATTAATTAAAAAAATACTAACAAAAAAAAATTCCAGGACCAGATGGATTCACAACAGAATTCTACCAGACATTCAAATAAGAATTGGTACCTACCCTATTGACACTATTCCACAAGATAGAGAAATAGGGAGCCCTCCCTAATTCATTCTATGAAGCCAGCATTACTCTAATACCAAAACCAGGAAAGGACATAACCAAAATGAAAACTACACACTGATATCCCTGACGAACATAGATGCTAAAATCCTTAACAAAATACTAGCTAATTGAATCCAGCAACATATCAAAAAGATAATCTACCAATATCAAGTGGGTTTCATACCAGGGATGCAGGGATGGTTTAACATACACAAGTCAATAAATGCGATACACCACATAAACAATTAAAAACAAAAATCACATGATCATCTCAATAGATGCAGAAAAAACAATCGGCAAAATCCAGCATCCCTTTATGATTAAAACTCTCAGCAAAATCAGCATACAAGGGACATACCTCAATGTAATAAAAAGCCATCTATGAAAAACCCAAAGTAAACACAATACTAAATGGGGAATAGTTGAAAGCATTCCCTCTGAGAATTGGAACAAGGCAAGGATGCCCACTCTCACCACTCATCTTCAATATAGAACTGGAAGTCCTACCCAAAGCAATCAGACAAGAGAAAGAAATAAAGGGCATCCAAATTGGTAAAGAGGATGTCAAACTGCCACTGTTTGCTGCTGATATGATCATTTACCTTGAAAACCCTAAAGACTCCTGCAGAGAGCTATTAGAACTGAGAAAAGAATTTAGTGTAATGCACACAAATCAGTAGCTCTTCTATACACCAACAGTGACCAAGCTGAGAATCAGATCAATAACTCAATCCCTTTTACAATGGCTACAAAACATAAAATAAAATATTTAGGAGTATACCTAACCAAGGAGGTGAAAGACCTCTACAAGGAAAACTACAAAACACTGCTGAAAGAAATCATAGATGACACAAACAAATGGAAACACATCCCATGCTCATGGATGGATAAAATCAATATTATGAAAATGACCATACTGCCAAAAGAAATTTACAAATTCAATACAATTCCCATCAAAATACCACCATCTTCACAGAATTAGAAAAAACAATTCTAAAATTCAAATGGAACCAAAAAGAACACACATATCCAAAGCAAGACTAATAAAAAAGAACATATCTAGAGGCATCACACTACCTGATTTCAAACTATAGTATAAAACCATAGTCACCAAAACAGTGTGGTACTGGTACAGAAATAGGCACAGAGACCAATGGAACAGAATAGAGATCCCAGAAATAAACCCAAATACTTACAACCAACTGACCTTGACAAAGCAAACAAAAACATAAAGTAGGGAAAGGACATCCTTTTCAGCAAATGGTGCTGGCTTCATAATTGGCTAGCCACATGTAGGAGAATGAAACTGGATCCTCATCTTTCATCTTATACAAAAATCAACTCAAGATAGATTAAGGACTTAAATCTGAGACTTGAAAGTATAAAAATTCTAGAAGGTAACATTGGAAAAATCCTTCTAAGCATTGGCATAGGCAAAGATTTCATGACCAAAAGCAAATGCAATAAAAACAAAGATAAATAGCTGGGACCTAATTAAACTAAAGAGCTTTTGCATGGCAAAAGGAACAGTCAGCAGAGTAAACAGACAGTCTGCAGAGTGGCAGAAAGTCTTCACAATCTATAAATCTGACAAAGGAGTAATATCTAGAATCTACAACAAACTCAAACAAATCAGTAAGAAAAAAACAAACAATTCCATCAAAAAGTGGGCTAAAAACATGAATAGACAATCCTGAAAAGAAGATATACAAATGGTCAACAAACATATGAGAAAATGCTCAACATCACTAATGATCAGGGAAATGCAAATCTAAACCACAATGCGATACCACCTTACTCTTGCAAGAATGGCCATAATCAAAAAATCAAAAAAACAGTAGATGTTGGCGTGGATGCAGTGATCAGGGAACACTTCTACACTGCTGATTGGAATGTAAACTAGTACAACCATGATGGAAAACAGTGTGGAGATTCCTTAAAGAACTAAAAGTAGAACTAACATTTGATCCAGCAATCCCACTACTGGGTATCTACCGGAGGAAAAAGTCATTATACGAAAAAGATACTTACTTGCAAACACATGTTTATAGCAGCACAATTTGCAATTGTAAAATCATGGAACCAACCCAAATGCCCATCAGTCAACAAGTGGATAAAGAAACTGTGGTATATAAATAAGATGGAATACTATGCAGGCATAAAAAGGAATGAATTAACAGCATGTGCAGTGATCTGGATGAGATTGTGAAGTAACTCAGGAATTGAAAACCAAACATAGTATGTTCTCACTGATATGTTGGAGATAAGCTATGATAATGCAAAGGCATAAGAATGATACAATGGACTTTGGGGAATTGGGCAGAAGGGTGGGAGGCAGACAAGGGATAAAAGACTACAAATAGCGTACAGTGTATACTGCTCGGGTGATGGGTGCACCAAAATCTCACAAATCACCACTAAAGAACTTATTCATGTAAACAAACACCACCTGTACTCCAATAACCTATGGAATAAATAAATAAATAAATAAGTTTCTAATCTGTAGTGGGAAACAAATACATAAATGGAGAGAAACCAATATTCCTTGCATGGTGAACAATATTAGTGTTGCTGAAAGAAGAAACAACTGTTCAGTAAAGCAGATAGCAGCTTAAGCATGGGTGATGCACAGGTTGAGTCTTAATAATTTTGTCTCTTTTTTTTTAATTTGGTGATTTCTTTACCATTGGTCCTCTGTACACACACTTAGCTTATTTTGAATTTAAATCTTATGAAAAAATATATTGCACAGAACTGGTGGAAAACAAAATCTAAATACACTTAACAGTTTTGTGTCTTCTTTTGCTAGTAATTGATCTTGTAGTCATTATAGGCATAGGGATGTGAAGAAATCTTTGCAAAACTTGGAAGACTCCTTTTAAATAATGCTTTCAACTGATATTTGAAAAAGCTACAATTATTTACTTCAGATTCCATTAATCACTATCCTTTCCATAGCCTTGTTATTTAAAAAGCATAGTTTCCTGAAGGTCAATGAAATCTCAATTTCTGTGGGATTTTTCTGGACAATTTGGCCAGTAAACTTTTTGAGTTTCATGTAACAAAAGTGATGTCTCCTTTTACTACTTCCATAGTATTTTATGCATTCTTAATATTATTTTGAAATCAAACTATTTTAGGCTGGGTGCAGTTGCTCACATCTGTAACCCCAGCACTCTGGGAGGCCAAGGCAGGCAGATTGCTTGAGTCAGGAGTTCGAGACCACCCTGGGCAACATAGTAAAATCTCACCTCTACCAGAAACACAAAAAAATTAGTCCGGCATGGTGGCACATGCCGGTAGTGCCTGCTATTCAGGAGGTTGAGGTGGAAGAATCACTTGAGCCCAGGAGATCGAGGCTGCAGTGAGCTGAGATTGTGCCACTGTGTCACTGCACTCCAGCCTGGGCTACCAGAGTGAGACCTTGTTGCAAAAAGAAAAAAAAAAAAAAAAGAAAGAAAGAAAGAAAAGAAAAGAAAAAGAAAAAAGAAAAAACACATGAACAAAAACTATTTTAATCTCAGCTTTGTTGGAACCCCTAAAACACTTCAAAATTCAGTGAGGGGCCATCATGTAAGTGTTGGCCAGGAGGTAGCCAATTCGAGTTTATGAATTAACTCCTTACTAACCCCTTATCAATATCTAAGTTTTTTTTATTATTTATTAGTATTATTTATTGATACTTATCAGTATCTAAGTATTTCTAAATGTCAAGATGGATTTTAAAAAGGGGTTTTTAAAAAGAACTATCAATATGCTTTATATTTTCTCCCTCCCAAAGTGCTCTAGCCATGGAGGAGGAATGGTGAACCCTTGTCTCCCAAGTCAAGTATTACATATATATCCCTGGAGCTTGGTGGATTAGAGTCTGACTCTCATCTGATCACATCTGAAAAATCTTTTTTTTTTTTTTTTTTTTTTTTTCAGAAGCAGAGTCTTGCTCTGTTGCTCAGACTGGGGTGCAGTTGCTAACTGCCTTAGCCTCTGTATTAGTTAATTCTCACGCTGCTGATAAAGACATACCTGAGACTGAGCAAATTAATAAAGAAAGAGGTTTAATGGACTTACAGTTCCATGTGGCTGGGGAAGCCTCATAATAATGGCGAAAAGCAAGGAGGAGCAAGTCACCTTAAATGGATGGCAGCAGGCAAAAAAACAGAGCTTGTGGAAGGAAACTTGCCCTTATAAAAGTGACAGATCTCATGAGACTTACTCACTATCACAAGAACAGCACAGGAAAAACCTGCCCCCATGATTCAATTATCTCCTACTGGGTCCCTCCCACAACACGTGGGAATTGAAGATAAGATTTGGGTGGGGCCCAGAGCCAAACCATATCAGCCTCCCAAGTAACTGAGACTACAGGCATGCATCACTACACCGGGCTACTTTATTATTATTATTTGAGGAGACAGGTTTTACTGTGCTTTTCAGGCTGGTCTCAAACTTCTGGCCTCAAGCTATCCTCTCACCTTCGCCTCCCAAAGTGCTGGGATTATAGGCACAAGCCATCATACCAGGCCAGATAAATCTATTCACAAAAGATGAGACACCTTATAACTTCTCTGATGGTAGATTGTAGAGGGTTGAAAGAACTAGAAAATCTGCATCTCTAAAGTTTCTTGGGACAAAGGCTTTCAGAACACTGTCTGTGTGCCAGATGTGGGCAGTGCATGCAGGAAAACCGACCTCAAACACGTTCAACAAGATTGCCAGGGCTGGACAATTTCAACAGCTTGGCAACTTAAGATACAGTTTTTATTATTAATGGCAGTAGTGAAGAATGAATAGGTATTGTCAAAGACCAGGAGAGGCCTGACTGCCCATGGAATCAGTGGCTAGATGAGTAACACAGGGCAGGTTCCATGGGGCAAGCCTCTGTGCCAGTGGACACATGAGGTCTGTCCTGGGAGCAGGCACATATGCCCAGGGAAGATTCTACAGCCTGTGCGTGTGTGGAATCCTTGACTTAGAGCTGAAGACCAGAGCAGATAACATTGTAGGTGTATAAAGACAGATAAAGAACTTGCCCATTTAGCGAAACAGCACTTATCTGGTACTAAAGACATACTTTGCCCACTTCACAGGTAGCTTAAAATCAGCTCTTTTTTACTCTTATGAATTCAGGGGGCAGAGTTAAAGACAGGCTAAGTTGAAGAACTTATGACTGCCTTTTTCCTGCTGAGGATAGAAAAGTATATTTTGAGGAGCAAGTTTTATAAAAAAGCCTGAAAATGCCACCTTCTGCCTCAAATTTAATCTATTAGTAGAGATGAAATCATTTAGAATTAAAAATATAAAACTTAAATGTGAATGATCTCATAGTATTTTGACACAATCCATGCCACATTCCTTTTTACAAATTTTTTATTTTTAATTTTTGTAATTACGAAGTAGGTGTATATATTTGTGGGTACATGAGATTTGGATAGAGGCATGTAATGCATAATAATCACATCAGGGTAAATGGGGTATTCATGACCTCCAGCATTTATCCTTTGTGTTACATCAATTCAATTATATTCTTTTAGCTATATTAAAATGTATAATTAAATTATTTTTGACTCTAGTCACCCCTGTTGTACTAGCAAACACTAGGTTTATTCATTTTTTCTCTTTTTGTAACCATTTATCATCCCCACTTCTTTCCCACTCCTTCACTACCAGTCACAGCCTCTGGTAACCATTCTTCTACTCTCTATCTCCATGAGTTCAATTGTTTTCACTTTTAGCTCCCACAAATAAGTGAGAGCAGGCATAATTGTGTGTCAAATTATAAAAAGAAAGGATACAAAGTTGGGCATACTTCCTACATCCAGGATACATTTGGCCCTACATAATCACACACACAAAAATCACTCTGATAAATCTTAAAATATTAGGAGTCATACCTGAGAATGCTGTAAAGAAAATGTTGAAAGTTAATAATAACTACCTGATCTGGGTGACACAGATATTCAGCATTGTTAGATTTTTATTCACCTGCCTAGGAGAAAGGTCTTTTTAAAATAACACCTTTCAGATAGAAATGTTGTATGTATTCTTTTTTCAACTTGGGTTTAAAATCAAAATCCACTGTATAAACTCTTTATATAGACATCATCGAAAAGTCTATGTTTGTAAAGTTAATGCTGTTTCTCTAGAACATAATAATATTAACAACAGTACTAATGCTACAAAAAAATAACAGCTAACATTTCTATGTCAGACACTCTTCTAATAAACCTTTATATATTAACTTCTTTGGTCTTCAGACAAACTTATGAGTTCAATACTATTATTACACATCTTTTTTTTTTTTCTCTCACTCTGTCCACCGGGCTGGAGTGCAGTGGCAAGATCTTGGCTCACTGCAACCTCCCCCTCCAGGTTCAAGTGATTCTCCTGCCTCAGCCTCCCGAGTAGCTGGGACTACAGGTGTGCGCCACTATGCCCAGGTAATATTTGTATTTTTAGTAGAGACGAGGTTTCACCATGTTGGTTGGCCAGGATGGTCTCGATCGCTTGACCTCATGATCCACCCGCCTTGGCCTCCCAAAGTGCTGGGATTACAGGCGTGAGCCACCACTCCCGGCCTATTATAAGTCTTTTACAGAAAAGAAAACACAAGTTTAGAGAGCTTAAATAACTTTCTTGGAATGACAAGTTTAAAAACACTTCATAATTTTTATGTGTAAGTTCTGCTGAGCATAGATTTTTTTATATATATAAAAGAAAATAATCGGGCTGGGTGCAGTGGCTCATGCCTGTAGTGTCAGCACTTTGGCAGGTCGAGGCAGGCAGATCACAAGGTCAGGAGTTTGAGACCAGCCTGACCAACATCGTGAAACCCCGTCTCTATTAAAAATATAAAAAGGAGCCGGGTGTGGTGGCGCACACCTGTAATCCCAGGTACTCAGTAGGCTGAAGCAGGACAATTGCTGAAACCCAGGAGGCAGAGGTTGCAGTAAGCTGAGATCATGCCACTGCACTCTAGCCTGGGTGACAGAGTGAAACTCCATCTCAACAAATAAATAAATAAATAAAAAGAAAAAGAAAAGAAAACAATTCAACAATATCAATTATATGATGTTAAGTTCAAATAAGGTAACGTGCAAGACAAACTCTGTTTCTTTAGGCTAAATCCACATACCCAAGTAATACATGCAGTGGTTCTGATGAATCCTTGTAAGAGGGTGAGCCTGACCATGGCTTCACATAAGTAGATGTTAATTATGTACTGCTTTCCAGGATTGGCCTGCACAATGTCCCTCTCACCTATCCTAGCCCATGATCTTGGCCATCTTGAAACCTCTTGCAGCCTGAAAGACAGAGGACAGAGCATTGCAGAAACTAATAGTAGTGTCCTGAAAATAGGAGGATCAGACAAGCTGTGTTTGAAATTGGGAGTGGAGTGGAGAGTAATCAGAAGGTGACTGCGGTGGCCAATAAGTAGTTAAAAAAAAAAGATGAGTTTCATAATTATACTGTATGAAGGTCCCAATGGGAAACAATAGATGAGTGTATATCTTATAACGTGTTTGGGGCTATTCTGAAGATTAAGTTGGTCACAAAAAAGACATTACTTTTGGTGCAACTAGAAGAGAATTAACACTACATATATATACATATATACGTATATATATATATATATACACGTATATATATATATATAGAGAGAGAGAGAGAGAGAAGCAGACAGAGTTGAGAAATGTTGGTTTTTCATTTGTTTACTGAGTACATATTAGCATATTAGATGCCAAACTGTGTAATGTGCTGGAAATTATTTTTAAAAAAAAGAAAGATTATATTCTTTTCTTTTTTTTTTACATGTGCAGAATGTGCAGGTTTGTTACATAGGTATACATGTGCCATGGTGGTTTGCCACACCCATCAACCAGTCATCTACATTAGGTATTTCTCCTAATGCTATCCCTCCCCTTTATCCCCTCCCCCAGACATGCCCCCCGGTGTGTGATGTTTCTTTCCCTGTGTCCATATGTTCTCATTGTTCAACTCCCACTTATGAGTGAGAACATGTGGTGTTCAGGTTTCTGTTCCTGTGTTAATTTGCTGAAAATGATGGTTTTCAGCTTCATCCATGTCCCTGCAAAGGTCATGAACTTATTATTTTTTATGGCTGCATAGTATTTTGTGGTGTATATGTGCCACATTTTCTTTATCCAGTCTATCACTGATGGGCCTTTCAGTTGGTTTCAAATCTTTCCTATTGTGAATAGTCCTGCAATAAACATACATGTGTATGTGTCTTTAGAGTAGAAAAATTTATAATCCTTTGGGTATATACCCACTAATGGGATTGCTGGCTCAAATGGTGTTTCTAGTTCTAGATCCTTGAGGAATCACCACATTGTCTTCTGCAATGGTTGAACTAATTTACACTCCCACCAACAGTGTAAAAGCATTCCTATTGGCCAGGCGTGGTGGCTCATGCCTATAATCCCAGCACTTTGGGAGGCCGAGGCAGGCGGATCATGAGGTCAAGAGATCAAGACCATCCTGGCTAACACAGTGAAACCCCGTCTCTACTAAATATACAAAAAATTAGCTGGGCTTTTTGGTGGGTGCCTGTAGTCCCAGATACTTGGGAAGCTGAGGCAGGAGGATGGTGTGAACCTGGGAGGTGGAGCTTGCAGTGAGCTGAGATCGCACCACTGCACTCCAGCCTGGGCGATAGAGCGAGACTCCATCTCAAAAGAAAAAAAAAAAGCATTCCTATTTCTCCACATCATCTCCAGCATCTGTTGTTTCCTGACTTTTTAATGACCACCATTCAAGCTGGCATGAGAACGTATCTCATTGTGGTTTTGATTTGCATTTCTCTAATGATTGGTGATGATGAGCTTTTTTTCATATGTTTCTTGGCTGCATAAATGTCTTCTTTGGAAAAGTGTCTGTTCATATTCTTTGCCCACTTTTTGATGGGGTTGTTTGTTTATTTCTTGTAAATTTGTTTAAGTTCCTTGTAGATTCTGGATATTCACCCTTAGTCAGAGGGATAGACTGCAAAAATGTTCTCCCATTATGTAGGTTGCCTGTTCACTCTGATGATAGTTTCTTTTGCTGTGCAGAAGCTCTTTAGTTTAATTAGATCCCATTTGTCAATTTTGGCTTTTGTTGCCATTGCTTTTGGTGTTTTAGTCATGAAGTCTTTTCCCATGCATATGTCCTGAATTACCATTCAGGTTGCCTAAGTTTTCTTCTAGGGTTTTTAGGGTTTTACATGTTAGGTTTAAATCTTTAATCCATCTTGAGTTAACTTTTGTATAAGATGTAAGGAAAGGGTCCAGTTTCAGTTTTCTGCATATGACTAGTCAGTTTTCCCAAAACCATTTATTAAATAGGGAATTTTTTCCCCATTCCTTGTTTTTGTCAGGTTTCTGGAAGATCAGATGGTGGCACGTGTGTGGTGTTATTTCTGAGGTCTCTGTTCTGTTCCATTGGTCCGTATATCTGTTGTGGTACTAGTACCATGCTCTTTTGGTTACTGTAGCCTTGTAGAATAGTTTGAAGTCAGGTAGCGTGATGCCTCCAGCTTTATTCTTTTTGCTTAGAATTGTCTTGGCTATACGGGCTCTTTTTTTGGTTCCATATGAAATTTAAATTAAAATTTTTTCTAATTCTGTGAAGAAAGTCAATTGTAGCTTGATGGGGATAGCATTGAATCTATAAGTTACTTTGGGCAGCATGGCCTTTTTCACAATATTGATTCTTCCTATCCATGAGCATGGAATGTTTTTCCATTTGTTTGTGTCCTCTCTTATTTCCTTGAGCAGTGTTTGTAGTTCTCCTTGAAGAGGTCCTTCACATCCCTTGTAACTTGTATTTCTAGGTATTTTATTCTCTTTGTAGCAGTGGTGAATGGGAGTTTACTCATGATTTGGCTCTTTGTCTATTATTTGTGTATAGGAATGCTTGTGATTTTGGCACGTTGATTTTGTATCCTGAGACTTTGCTGAAATTGCTTATTGGCTTAAGACGTTTTTGGGCTAAGACAATGGAATGGTTTTTTATAAATATACAATCATGTCATCTGCAAACAGAGATAATTTGACTTCCTTTCTTCCTATTTGAATACTCTTTATTTCTTTCTCTTGCCTGATTGCCCTGGCCAAAACTTCCAATACTATGTTGAATAGGAGTGGTGAGAGAGGGCATCCTTGTCTTGTGCTGGTTTTCAAAGAGACTGCTTCCAGCTTTTGCCCATTCAGCATGATATTGGCTGTGGGTTTGTCATAAATAACTTATTATTTTGAGATATGTTCCATCAACACCTAGTTTATTGAGAGTTTTTAGCATGAAGGGTGTTGAATTTTATCGAAGGCCTTTTCTGTATCTATTGAGATAATCGTGTGGTTTTTGTCGTTGAATCTGTTTATGTGACGAATTGCATTTATTGATTTGCATATGTTGTACTAGACTTGCATCCCAGGGATGAACCCGACTTGATCGTGGTGGATAAGCTTTTTGATATGCTGCTGGATTTGATTTGCCATTATTTTATTGAGGATTTTCACATCGATGTTCATCAGGGATATTGGCCTGAAATTTTCTTTTTTTGTTGTGTCTCTGACAGGTTTTAATATCAGGATGATGCTGTCCTCATAAAATCAGTTAGAGAGGTATCTCTCTTTTTCTATTGTTTGGAATAGTTTTAGGAGGAATGGTACCAGCTGCTCTTTGTACGTCTGGTAAAATTCAGTTGCAAATCCATCTGTTCCTAGGCTTTTTTTGGTTGTTAGGCTATTAATTACGGCCTCAATTTCAGAAATTTTATTGGTCCATTCAGGGATTTGACTTCTTCCTGATTTAGTCTTGGGAGGGTGTATGTATTCAGGAATTTATCCATTTCTTCTAGATTTTCTAGGTTCTTTTCATAGAGATGTTTATAGTATTCTCTGATGATAGTTTATATTTCTGTGGTATCAGTGGTGATCTCCCCTTTGTCATTTTTTATTGTGTCTCTTTGATTCTTCTCTCTTTTCTTCTTTATTAGTCTGGCTAGCGGTCTATCTATTTTGTTAATCTTTTCAAAAAGCCAGCTCCTGGATTCATTGAATATTTTTTAAGTGTTTTTCATGTCTCTATCTCCTTCAGTTCTGCTCTGATCTTTGTTATTTATTGTCTTCTGCTAGCTTTTGAATTTGTTTGCTCTTGCTTCTCTAGTTGTTTTAATGGTGATGTTAGACTGTCAGTTTTAGATCTTTCCCACTTTTTCCTGTGGGCATTTGGTGCTATACATTTTTCTCTAAACACTGCTTTAGCTCTGTTCCAGAGATTCTGGTATATTGTGTTTTTGTTCTCACTGGTTTCAAAGAACTTATTTATTTCTGCCTGAATTTTGTTATTTACCCAGTAGTCATTCAGGAGCAGGTTGTTCAGTTTCCATGTAGTTGTGTGGTTTTGAGTGAGTTTCTTAATCCCGAGTTCTAATTTAATTGCACTGTGGTCTGAGAGACTGTTTATTATTATTCCCATTCTTTTGCATTTGCTGAAGAGTGTTTTACTTCCAATTATGTGGTCAATTTTAGAATAAGTGCTATGTGGTACTGAGAAGAATGTGTATTCTGTTGATTTGGGATGGAGATTTCTGTAGATGGCTATTAGGTCGGCTTGGTCCAGAGCTGAGTTCAGGTCCTGAATATCCTTGTTAATTTTCTGTTTCGTTGATCTGTCTAATATTGACAGTGGGGTGTTAAAGTCTCCCATTTATTATTGTGTGAGAGTCTAAGTCTCTTTGTAGGTCTCTAAGAACTTACTTTATGAATCTGGGTGCTCCTGTATTGGGTGCATATGTATTTAGGATAGTTAGCTCTTCTTGTTGCATTGATCCCTTTACCATTCTGTAATGCCCTTCTTTGTCTTTTTTGGTCATTGTTGGTTTAAAGTCTGTTTTATCAGAGACTAGGATTGCAAACCCTGCTGTTTTTGCTTTCCATTTGCTTGTTAAATCTTCCTCTATCTCTTTATTTTGTGCCTATGTGTGTCTTTGCACATGAGATGGGTTTCCTGAATATAGCACACCGATGGGTCTTGACTCTTTATCCAATTTGCCAGTTTGTGTCTTTTAATTGGGGCATTTAGCCTATTTACACTTAAGGTTAATATTGTTATGTGTGAATTTGATTCTGTCATTATGATGCTAGCAGGTTATTTTGCCCATTAGTTGATGGAGTTTCTTTATAGTGTCGATGGTATTTACATTTTGATATGTTTTTGCAGTGGCTGGTACCAGCTGTTCCTTTCCATATTTAGTGCTTTTTTTCAGGAGCTCTTGTAAGGCAGGCCTAGTGGTCACAAAATCCCTCAGCATTTGCTTGACTGTAAAGGATTTTATTTCTCCTTCACTTATGAAGCTTAATTGGCTGGATATGAAATTCTGGCTTGAAAATTCTTTTTTTAAGAATGTTGAATGTTGGCCCCCACTCTCTTCTGGCTTTTAGGGTTTCTGCCAAGAGATCCGCTGTTAGTCTGATGAGCTTCCCACTGTGGGTAACCCAGCCTTTCTCTCTGGCTGCCCCTAACATTTTTTTCTTCATTTCAAGCTTGGTGAATCTGAAGATCATGTGTCTTGTGGTTGCTCTTCTCAAGGAGTATCTTTGTGGTGCTCTCTGTATTTCCTGAATTTGAATGTTGGCCTGCCTTGCTAGGTTGGGGATATTCTCCTGGATAATATCCTGATGTGTGTTTCCCAACTTGGTTCCATTCTCCTGTCATTTTCAGGTACACAAATCAAATGTAGGTTTGGTCTTTTCACATAGGCCCATATTTCCTGGAGGCTTTGCTTGTTCCTTTTCATTCTTTTTTCTCTAATCTTGTCTCATGCTTTATTTCATTAAGTTGATCTTCAATCTCTGATATCCTTTCTTCCACTCGATCGATTCGGTTATTGATACCTGTATATGCTTCACGAAGTTCTCGTGCTGTGTTTTTCGGCTCCATCAGGTCATTTATGTTCTTCTCTAAACTGGTTATTCTAGTTAGCGGTTCCTGTAACATTTTATCAAGGTTCTTAGCTTCCTTGCATTGGGTTAGAACATGCTCCTTTAGCTCAGAGGACTTTGTTATTACTCACCTTCTGAAGCCTACTTCTATCAATTTGTCAAACTCATTATCTGTCCAGTTTTGTTCCCTTGCTGGTGAGGAGTTGTGATCCTTTGGAGGAGAAGAGCCATTCTGTTTTTTTGGAATTTTCAGCCTTTTTGTGCTGGTTTTCCCTCATCTTCATGGGTTTATCTACCTTTGGTCTTTGCTGTTGGTGACCTTCAGATGGAGTTTTTACGTGGTCGCCGTTTTTGTTGATGTTGATGCTATTTCTTTCTGTTTGTTGGTTTTCCTTCTAACAGTCAGGCCTATCTTCTGCAGGTCTGCTGGAGTTTGCTGGAGGTCCACTCTAGACCCTATTTGCCTGAGTATCACCAGCAGAGGCTGCAGAACAGCAAAGATTACTGCTTGCTCCTTCCTTTGGAAGCTTTTGTCCCAGAGGAGTACCTGCCAGATGCCAGCTGCAGCTCTCCTGTATGAGGTGTCTGTCGACCTCTGCTGGGAGGTGTCTCCCTTTCAGGAGGCACGGGGCTCAGGGACCCACCCAGGAAAGAGGAGGCAGTCTTTCCTCTAGCAGAGCTCAAGTGCTGTGCTGAGAGATCCACTGCTCTCTTCAGAGTTGGCCGGCAGGAACTTTTAAGTCAGTTGAAGCTGCACCCACAGCTGCCCCTTCCCCCAGGTGCTCTTCCCAGGGAGACGGGAATTTTATCTATAAGCTCCTGACTGGGGCTGCTGCCTTTCTTTCAGAGATGCCCTACCCAGACAGGAGGAATCTAGAGAGGAGGTCTGGCTACCACAGCTTTGTGGTGCTGCAGTAGGATCCGCCCAGTCCGAACTTCCTGGTGGCTTTGTTTACACTGTGAGGGGAAAACCTCCTACTCAAGCCTCAGTAATGGCGAATGCCACTCCCTCCACCAAGTTCGAGTGTCCCAGGTCGACTTCAGGCTGCTGAGCTGGCAGCAAGAATTTCAAGCCAGTAGATTTTAGCTTGCTGGGCTCCATAGGGGTGGGATCCTCTGAGCAAGACCACTTGGCTCCCTGACTTCATCTCCCTTTCCAGGGGAGTGAACAGTTCTGTCTCACTGGGGTTCCAGTCTTCACTGGGGTATGAAAAAAAATTCCTGCAGCTAGCCCAGTAGGTCTGTGTCTGCCCAAACAGCCGCCCAGTTTTGTGCTTGAAACCCAGGGCCCTGGTGGTATAGGCACCCGAGGGAATCTCCTGGTCTGGGAGTTGCAAAGACTGTGGGAAAAGCGTAGTATCTGGGCTGGCAAGCACTGTCTGTCATGGCACCGTCCTTCAAGGCTTCCTTTGGGTAGGGGAGGGAGTTCCCCAACCCCTTTCACTTCCTGGTTGAGGCAATGCCCTACCCTGCTTCTGCTTGCCCTCCGTGGGCTGCACCCACTCTCTAACCAGTCCCAGTGAGATGAACCGGGTACCTCCGTTGGAAATGAAGAAATCACCTACCTTCTGTGTTGGTCTCGCTGGGAGCTGCATATTGGAGCTGTTCCTATTTGGCCATCTTGCCCAGGAATCCTGTATTCTTTTTTTTTTAATAGAAAGAAAGTGGCATACAAATTTTTATTGTTGTGCATATGAACACAAGAGCCATATACAAAGTCTTATATACATGAGAGTTTAAGGAGGGGCCAGATGGTTGATGATTAAATATTCTTACCTTTCGGAGATTCTAGTTAACTATCTTAGCTCTTATAGAAAACTCATAGCAATGAATATTTATTTATTCACAAATGTCTGCATGGGTGAAGGCCATACATACTATCAAGAGCCTAAAGTCAGTAGGGGCTTTATTCCAATTTAGAACCTCTGCTACCAGTTTGTGTAGCCTGGGATATTTGCTCAGAGTTCAATTTCACAAAAATCTATGTCTTACAGTGCTGGCATGAATAATACAGTCTTGTTTGTATCTGTTCACACATCTCTCTCCTGCCAACTGTAGGACAGCCTCTTTTATATATAATGCTTTATATACATATTTTCTGCTGCTTCCGAGTAGTGACAGATTGTTTTGTGACAGCACAAACACAAAATCTCTCCTTAGTTCAACTCCCAGATGCTGTAAGAAACTTAGAAGAGGAGATGGCTAAGGAAAGGTAGCTAGCTGCCATCATCAAAGGAAAGAAAGAAATGATCTTGAAACTGGTCAAAAAGCACTCCAACAGCTGGCTGACTATTTTTGTCATTTTTAAAGAAGATGCTCCCTTTGTACTACTGGAGAAAAGTACCTAAACCTCCTGAATGTGTCATCACTATTTATATGTGCCATCATGGCCTTGAGGGACCTATTCTGCAGTGTAAATTTGCAATTTTGAAATCTGCAGCATATGCAGACCTGATTTATTTGACTCAGATTGGGAAGACAGACTGTTACTGGGCAATATCACTAGGTAACCAAAGAGGAGGCAATAGAGTTCAAAACCCCATTTCTTATTTAAGTAAAAGCACAATTAATTACTCTGCAGCATGTTATTTGGGTTGTATGATATCTTTCAACATCAGGGTTTTATTTTTAGTTGCTTAGTTACTGAGATCACTATTCTAAGTAAACAATATCATACACTATAACATGAACAAGAAAAAAAAGCCCCAAAGCTTTGAACAAGGAAGCAAAATAGTCCTGTAAATGGGTTTGCCTAGTAAGTAGCAAGGCAAATCCAGGAAAAACCAGACAGCTGCTGATGTTACATTTTGCTGCTCTCCTTTATATGCTGCATGGCTTACAAGTCAATAAAACACTATTGAAGACAAGGAGATAAAATTTGAATGCCTAATATATGTATATTATTAAGATGTGGTTCTCTAATTAGGTTAAAGTAATGGTTGAATGTTCAGACTTTCCTTACAGAGAAAAGACAGAAAATCCAGAACATTTCGGGGGATATCCATGTCTCCTTTTCTCTGTCAAATGCTTCTAATTATTTATCTGTGCTTACAGTTTCATTTATCTTGTCTACACTTACTCTTTTCACCCTAGTCTGTTTCTGCCTTCAGTACTTGCCGAGATTATTTTCTAAACTATCATAAAAGTCTAGCTAATTGCCAAATTCTGCTTGACCTCTCTACAATGTCTGACATTACTGTCTATTTTATTGCCTTGAAATTCTCTTTTTCCTTGCATTGCATTCTCCTAATGGTCCTTCTTCTTTACTGGAAACAATTGCCTATGTGAAACTGGACTTTGTTCATTACAGCATGTGCAGCTAATAGCTATGTTAGGCAAATGACTTTAAAAATTTATGCCTCAGATTCTTCGTCTGTAAAATGGATGCAATAATAGTAATATTCCCCACTTACACAGTTCTTGTGAGAATAAAATGAGTTGACCAATATAGAGGATTTACAACAGTGCCTGTCAAAAATCCTACTCTTGCTTGTGCCATTACTGTCTATCTGGTTCTAAAATGACATTGTTCTTGAAAGCTGTGATTTTTTTCTTGAGCTTTGTATCTACTTCCTGGCTTATACTTTTATCTAATTGATATTGAATGTGACCTCTTTCCTCCTGAGCTCTACTCTCATATCACTAAGTTTGCTAATACCCTCCTGTGGATTTCTAATAGGGAATGAAATTAATTAACACAAGCTATCAAAAAGTTCATTCATTTATTGATCCATTTACTATTTTCCAGATACCATATTTGACCCAAGAGCACTGTTGGCCTGAGACCAATAGTTTGTTGGATATAGTAATATTGTATCTCAATGTTTATTTCCATCTTGAAATCTTTGGGTATTGCCCCACTGTATCCTGGTGTTGAATGATGTTGCTGGCAGTGTGTCTGAGGACAATCTAAGTTTTTTGTTGTTGTTGTTTGCTTTTTTAATGGATGACAGAATTCTTTTTTATTTTTTTTAAGTCCAGTAATTTTATTGGGATATTTTTTGGTGCTTATAACTCTACATACTTTTTTTTCTGGCATCAAGTATACTCTTTCAATTTGTAAATTCAACTTTTTACTTTCAGAAACATTTCTAATTTATATGTCATTTAAATATATTTTCTCTAGGAAGAATAATTTTTTTTCTTGGGAGTAGTTATAGTCATGTGATATCTCCTTTGACTGTCTTCCCTATCTCATATTTTCTCTATACACCCTTACATTTTCACTTCATTATTCTCTATGTTTTTTATCCATGTCTATGTAAATATTGCCTTATGTTATGATTTTTCTTTTCTCTCTCTCTCTCTCTTTTTTTCTACTGACGATTGTTAGCTCATATTTTGTGTCCTCCTGTCTCACCATTGCTACCTTGAGGTATTGTATCTTTGCTGTGACAATTTTTCTTGATTTCTTAAGTTACTTGAATTTAAGGAAGCATGCTGTTTTTTGATAACATTTTTCTCCATCTGTGGTTCATTCATCCTGTTCTTTCTCTTATGTTTTTTTCTTAATCATTTTTAATTTATTTATTATTTCCTCACCTCTGAATAGGATGAGTCTTAACGAGATGATTTAATTACAGAATATTCATGGGAAAAGTAAGTGGAACAAGTTCTCAAATAGCAGATATTCCTCCCAATTCACACAAAAATTCCTTATGACCCAGAGCTGTATGGCCTCATGCATTTGGTCAACCGGTTCACTGTTTTCTTCAGCCAGCACAATTTGCAGCTACTGAGATCATTGTGATTCAGAGTCTCTTTCCCTAACAGAAGGTTTCCTATGGAAACAAAAGAGAAGACTCTAACACCAGTTTCCACGCTTCATTTTTATTATTTCTGATATCGAATTCTGTTTTTTCTTCCCCTCAAGGTGTGCTATGCCCTGTGGACAGCTATGCACTGATGAAATTTGTAGCTTCTCTTACCCTGGTTATTTTTTATACCCATTGTACCTTCACTACATTTGAGATAGCTTCTCACACATTGTTATTTGAGTTATGAATATTTTCTATTTCTCTTAAGATGGAAGTTTTATTTGTTTCTTGTCCTTCTCTTTTTTTCACATGCTTTTCAAGATGAAAAAAGGACAAGACCATTTTATCCACCATTTAAAAATTAAAAGTGAAGTATACATTTAGATCTAAGCTATGCTATGACATACTCCCTCAGAAGGCAGAATAGTACGTCTCTTCCTCTCCCCCTATTTATTAAGATTAGATTTCCAGTCCAGTTCAAATGGATGTATTTTTATCCAATTAGAAAATGCTCCCCCCACCCTAAAAATTGTTATTGTAACAGATAAGTGCCAAAAGCCAATCCGGACAATAAAAATGCTGGCATTGAACATTTCTGAAGATACAATGAGTTTAACACTTAAGTGAATTTTAGACTGTAGATACTTTAAGGAATTAGATCTGCTTTGCTAAAGTGATTATTTAAACAAATTAAATTGTAAGTAAATAAGTGAATTAGTACTGAAAGGTTTATATATGGTCATATTGTTGTATAATGTCAATTAGTGTGCTAAATTGGTGGCAAAGCAGATGCGTGATTTTCTGCAGAGATGAATGGCTTTGTTTTTTTGTTAGACCTATATGTGTGTATATATATATATGTATATGAATATATATATGTACATATATAGGCATTTATAATATGAACGTTGCATATGTAACAATTGTCTAATGCTATTCTGATATGAATTCACTTTAGAATTTCAATGTCAATTATGTCACAGGAAATTTTCCTTTGTCCTGACTTCAGTTAGGTACTATTTCATATGCCTGTGATGGGAAAAATTAGAAAAAATGGTAAATTTAAGGCAAACGTTATGTGTTTTTGTTTTTTCTATGTATGCATAGGCTTGGAATAAGTGACTCTTCAGCTATGTCATGACTACGTCAGATACTCTGTGCAAGATCTATAAGAGAGAATGAAGGAAACAAAACACTTGAAATTTATGTTTTCAAAAAAGGACCATGATAATTGGAAAAAATATATTTGTGTTTTGGAAATCTATGGTTTGGTGAGCTCCTTATGTGTTTGAATTTCGCATAGTTATCTTAACAAACTCTTCTTACCTAAAATATTCCTTTTTATCAGCAACAGAAGGAAATTTTCTTCATAGGACAGTTTATACCTACTATGAAATTTCTATAGGAAGATCAAAGTTTAATGGGCATCTCAAGGAACATGGTATGGTTTTTAAAGGATCAGCTTTCAACATTCTCAGATTAATAAGTTCTTAGTGGGTTATTGTGAAAATGGACTTAGACAAAACATGCCCAAAAGAAACATTGTCTGGGGACAAGCTGTCTCAGGAGATTAGTAACAGGTGACATGGAAACTTAAACCTCAAGGTCAATAGCTCCAATCTATCCTCAGTCAATAGTGGCTAGCAAGTCATTAATGTACAAATGCTGGCCAGTTTTCTAGGAGAAAGAAGAAAGGTTTTCTAATCTTGCTCTTTGAAAGTATTTGTATCACAAGTTCTGATTTGAAAACAAGAGAGGATGTATAAACATATGCAAGCATACATAAACATACCAACATAAACATACCTATTAGGATAAAATTGAAAGAATATACAGGTATATGTTCCTACTCAGCAGGATTATAGAGATTTTAAATTTCATCTTTTTGCCAATTCTTGTTTTCTAAATATTTTACAATGAAGTACATTGCTTTATACTACAAGAAAAAAATTAAAACCTCTTTTCTTCCCGGACTGATTTCTAAAGAACTAAAAGACAATCAACATTATCTTCACTAGTTTATCTCTTTAGATCCTGTGTTTAATTACTTTCACCAGTAACTCTTCTGTGAAGCATTCAATATTGTCTTAAGTGGATGGCCTAACAGCTAATCTTCCCCACTTCCTCATTATTTAGTACTTGTTTCTCCATTTCAGGTATCAAATTAAGTTAAATTTTCATGCCTCCAGAAACCACCAAGGGATTACCCAAATGTTTTTCAGACTCAATATCATATTAGAACAAGATTTTTTTAATATTTGACCTAGCTCATCTTATTTTTAATGTACTTTTCAATCTGAGTGAGTGAATGCTCACTTAAAAAAATGTCATAGGACAACAAGACTTATAATGACAAAAACAGCAAGCCTCTATTCCTCCTCCTCACAGCTCTCATTTTGCTTCTCAGAGATAACTTTTAACATGTATTATTTATTCACCTAATATCTAATGAATGCCTACTATGTTCCAGACACTGTTTAAGTGATATGAATTAGCAGTGAACAAACCCATAGAAGTCCTTGCTAATATGGAGTGTACATTCTTATGGAGGAGAAAACAACAAACAAATGAATGAACAATGTACATATAACATACAATCCATTGGATGGTGGTAAGAGTTAACTAAAAATAATTCAGTATGAAAGGAAATATGAAATATTGGGAGGGGTAAAATAGTAAATAGATTTTATAGGACAAGCTTAATTGAAGGGTGACTTTTGTCACCTGAGGGAAGTGCAGCAGTTACTTAAGAGGATATCTAGAATCAGAGGTTTCTAGGCAACAAATACAAAGGCCATGAGACAGGAATATGCCTATTGATTTCAAGAGCACTTCAGCTATTCATAGTCCTCCTGGTAATTTGATATTTTTCTACATAACTAATCAGTATGATTTATTAATATTAAACATGTTATCTTGAATTGCACCAATATAGAAGTCAATTGCTCTCTGTTATGCTACTGTCCCATCTTGCTTATCCTCCCTTGA
Organism: Homo sapiens; assembly: GCF_000001405.40. Lineage (NCBI taxonomy): Eukaryota > Metazoa > Chordata > Mammalia > Primates > Hominidae > Homo > Homo sapiens. Next base: position 110,488,595 of record NC_000003.12, on the reverse strand, counting down.
CCCCCAGCTCAGTAATATTAGAGTATTTGATTAAGTCGATGATCAGTTTTTACATTATTTTGGCTATGTAAATTATATTCATAAGTAGTAGATCACAACCCCACTTTTTTTACATGAGTTAAATTTCTAAAGGCAATACCTACTTCATTCTTCATTTGCTCATTGTGCTGTACAATTTTATTAATATTCACCTAAACACTTCAATATTTCTTTTAAAGTTTTTTGTTTGTCTTTGATTTTTGTTATGTCTTGCTATACTCCTCTTGGGTTAAATTTGATTTGAGACCTCTATGCTTTCTATACTGGGTATTGGCAATTTCCCAGATTAGGGAAATTTCCAGCCGTTATTTATTTAAATATGATTTCTGGTCTTTTTTCTTTCTTTCTTTCTCTTCCTTCTGCAATTCTTATGATGTGAAGGTTTGATCTCTTGATAATATCCCATTATTCCTATAAGCTTTCTTTTTGTTCTTTTTTACTCTTTTGTCTTTTTGCTCCTCTTACTCAATACTTAAATTCTCTTTAAGCTCATTGATCCTTTATTTTGTTTCGTTGAGTGTGCTGCTGAAGCTTTCCTTTGAATTTTCAACTTAGTCCTTGCATTTTTCACCTCTAGGATTTCCAGTGAGCTCTTTGCTATTATTTCTATTTCTTTGTTAATCTCATGTTTTCATGCAAATTGTGTTACATTTAACATTTGTATATTATTGTAGTTTACTAAACTTCTTCATGAATCTTCTTCTGAATTCTTTGTCAGTCATTTCATACACCTCATTTCTTTGATGTCCATTACTGGAGCTTTATTAGTGTACTTTGAAGTTTTCATGATTCCCTGATTTTTTGGTAATTCTTATATTCTTGCATTGTTGTCTGTGTATTCTAAGGAAGAGCCATCTCCTCTAGCCTTTACAGTTTTTCTTTGTGAGGGATGAAACTTCTCTATTTAGTCTACCTCATTATTTTGGAAGGGCCAACTGATAATAACCCAGGGCAGGCAGAACTTGTTGTGAGTTTTCTAGTTGACTGGACCACTGGTTTTGCCCTGATATTGAATGGTGCTACTGGCTGGGCTCCACTGACTGGTGACACCACTGGCTGGGTCCTTTTATCAGGCAGAGCTGCTGGCTGGGTACTTCAGTGGACTCTGGTAAGTCTGGTTACAGGAGATCTTCTTTGGCCAGACATTTCCACTATTTGGGATCTGAAATTGGGCAGGGCTGCAGATTGAGCTCCAAGGTTAAGTAGAGTTGCTTCTCTGGACTGGCAGGATGTAAAGCTAGGCTTCTTAGGGATACCCAGTTGAGTATTACTGCCTGGGTGGAGCCATCGTGTGGACTTTTGGCTGAGCTGAGTGGCTGTTTGACCTCCTAGATCAAGAAGGACTACCCCCTACATTTCTCCAGAATGCACAAGGGTAGAGTAATTGAATGGGCTGTTGGGCTATGTGGAACCACTGCCTGCATTCCTGGGTCAAGCTGGTCTAATTCCTTTGCTTCTCTGAAATCATAGATGTAGGAGTCTCTGTTTGGATGGGACCATTAGGTGGCTTTTATGGCTGTGTGGAATTACTGCTTGCCTTCCTGGATATAGCAGGTTAAATTCCTTCACTTCTCTGAAATGAGTGGAGCTGCATTTCTCCCTGCCTGGGTGGGGTTGTCAAGGTGGGTTCCAAGGTTGGATAGGGAGACTAGCAGTATTGAGGCTTAATGTAGGTTTTACTTCCCAGCATACTTCTGAAGGCAACCTACTCAGTTTTGCAGGTGGGCTATGACGCTGGCTGATATAGCTTATTGAGTGCCACAGCTGGCAGGAACAAAGAGGTAATACCAAGAACTGTGCGTTGGTCACTGTTTTTGTGTCTACTTGACCTCTGGGTTGTCAAGCTTTGCCATTTTGCCTAGTCTTCCCTATGAGGTGAGTACAGAGTTTTTCTTGGTGTTGAGCATCTCAAAAAAAAAAAAAATACTCTAATCTACAAATAATTGCTAGTTGAACTTTTCTGTGGGAAGGAGTGGATCTGGAGACTTCCTATTCCACCATTTTGCTGACATCAGTCTCCTAAACACTTCAATGTTTCCACATAATGCCTATCAGTAGTGTTTATCATTTGTTGCCCCTAGTCTTTTCTGTCTGTCTTATTCAGTGGGACTCTTGCCTTTTAGGACCGCTGCCATTAAGGACTTTGTGCTATTCTTGGACTTCCCTTTGCTAATTGCCCATGTTGAATCTCTTGTTACGTGAATTTCATTTCTTCTTTCATGGAATTTTATGTTTCTTTCTGGACTAATCAAATCAACTTTCAGTGCTTCTTCATGGATGTCTTATCTTGCCTTTGCTTGTGCTATTATATTTTATTATTTCTTTCTTTCTTTTGAATTAAGTTTTCTGTTTTTTTGAAACCTAAAGCATCCTAGGAAATATAGAATTTAAAATACTATATAAAATGTCTAGTAACAAGAAGTCCTGAAGTAGTTTGACTTCATGTCTGGTTAATCCAATCGCTCAGAAACTCATTATAGACCCAGAGTTTTGGCAGTCTTGAAACTTGCAAATTTTGGTATATTCCATTATGGTCACAGTAGATTCTAACAGCACTAGGTATTACCAACATCTAGAGGAGGAGAAATACATGTTTCTTATGTCAATATGCAGAAACTCTAGATAATTTTTTTCTTTAGGATTAATTAGTTTTTCCAAAGATGAGCCTTCTAATCCTCACCTGTGATGTGAAGTGGCCAGAATGTGGGGTGGTAGGGTGATGTATGTGTTACAATCTTCTTCTAGTAGGGAAAGGAGTTTGAGAATCACACAGTTTAATATGTAGACTTTTAACTAATTTCTGTTGTCTTCCAATACTTCACCCCAGCTCTTCACTATGCCTAGAATTCCCCATTCCAAGCCCTTTTAGAGTTATGCTTTGTAAAGAAGAGACTCCTGATCTCCAGCCTGAAGAAGGATGCATTATGTATCTAACTGTTTAGTCATCGGGATCAGACTGTTAGAGCCTATAATTCTGCGTCAATGTTTTGTGTAATGTAATATTTTATTTCTCTGGGACATATTTCCAGGAGTGTAATTTCTGAGTCATATTATATTTTAGTCTTTAAAAAACTGCCAAACTATCTCCCAGAATAGGCATATCATTTACATTCACACCAACAATGTATGTGAGATCCAGTTTCTCTGCATTCTCACCAACTTTTGGTATTGTCAGTCTTTTTAATTGTGCTCTTCTAATACATGAAGAGTAATGTTTTAACATGGCTTAAATTTTAATTTCTGTATTAGCCAATGACAAAAAGTATAAAATCTTAATCACATTTTTCATTCCTTTACCCTCTCCCCTTTTATTACAAATGTCTTTAATGTTTTGTCTGTATATATTAGAAATCATATCAGACAATGGTATGATTTTTGTTTCACCCACCTGACATAATTTAGAAGACCCAAGATGAGAAAGATAGTATACTATATTTACCCATATTTCTACTTTTTCCATTTTTCTCTATTCATTCTTGATGTTCCAAGTTTCCTTTCTTTATTATTTTATTTCTGTTTGAAAAAACTTGCTTCAGACATTATTTTAGGAAGGCCTGTTGATATCAAATTCTCTTAGATTTTTTTCATCTGAGAGTGTCTTCATTTAACCTTTGTTTCTGAAGGATATTTTTGCTGGATATAGAATTCCAAGTTGACATGGTTTTTTGTTGCTTGTTTGTTGTTGTTTTGTCAGCAGTGAAAAATATGCCATTTCCTTTTGACCTCCATGGTTTCTGATGACAAATTTGCTCTCATTCACAGTGTTGTTCCTCTATAGATAAAGAAACATTTCTTTATGGCTGCTTTAAAGATATTTTTGTTTTTAATTTTCAAAAGTTTCACTATGTTGAGTGTTGGCATCGATTTCTTTGGGTTTATTCTGTTTGGAATTTTTCTCAGCTTTTTGGATCTGTAAGTTTATGTCTTTTTGCTAAAGTTTGAATTCCTCAGTCATAGGTTTTTGGGTTTTTTTTAATGCTTTTTAAGACCCACCACATTTCTTTTTTCTTTTTTATGGCTCTGATGACATGAAAGTAAGATCTTTTGTTTTAGGTCTTCAGATCTCAGAAGCCTTGTTCTCTCTCTTTCTCTTTCTTTCTTTCTTTCTTCCCTTCTTTCCTTCCTTCCTTCCTTCCTTCCTTTCTTTCTTTCTTTCTCTTTCTTTCTTTCTTTCTTTCTTTCTTTCTTTCTTTCTTTCTTTCTCTTTCTTTCTTTCTTTCTTTGTTTCTTTTCTTCTTTCTTCTCTCTCTCTCTCTCTTCCTTCCTTCCTTCCTTCTATTATTTTTCCATTGTTTAGATTGGGTAATGTCTGCTATTCTATATTTGAGTTTATAAATTTATTTTTTTGTGCCCTCCATTCTGCTGTAAAACACATCATCAAGTACTTTATTTGATTAATTTATATTTTATTTTAAAATTTTCATTGGCTTCTTTATATTTTGTTATTTGCTGAGACTTTCTATTGTTTATTTGTTTCAAGTGTTTCTGAGATTGCTTACTGAAAATATCAGTGATAGCTTCTTTAATATTTTTGTCAGATATTTTCATAACCTGTATCATCTTGGTGCTGGTATCTGTTTATTGCCTTTTGTCATGTAAGTTCAGATTTTTCTTATTCTTAGAAAGGATAGGTTTTTAAAAATTCTTTCCTTGGCATTGTGGAAAGTATGTTGTTAGACCTTAGGTCTTATTTAATATCCCTTTTTTTCTGCCAGGGAGTCACACTATGTAGGTGTAGAGTAAAGCCCTGGTTGGGGCAAAAGCTCAGTTTACCACAGTAGGCCCCATTGATAGTATTACTATAACAGTGAAGAAATCAGAATGCCAATTAACATCACATTTGTACCATCTAATTTCACCTCATTGTTTATCTATGTACATAAAAGTTATACTTTCTATTTTCCTATTGACATAAGTCAGGCAAAGGGAAGTGGAAGACTGACATGACCTACCTTCTGTCATTGGACAGAATGAAAACTTTAACTCTTTAACAACCCCACTGATTCTTCAGGAAAAAGGCATTTTTTCCTTTTATGCTTGTCTGGATTAGGATGGGTATTATTAAAAATGTCTTTTATACTCTACACAACCTTTTTCTGGTCCTTTTGTTAGAGGGTACAGGCATACCTCGAAGATACTGTGGGTTTGGTCCCAGACTATTGCAATAATGTAACTATCACAATAAAGTGAATCACACAAACTTTTTAATTATCCAGTGCACATAAAAGTTATATTTATACTATACTACAGTCTATTAAGTGTACCATAGCACTGTGTCTAAAAATATACATATCTAAATTAAAAAACACTTTATTGATAAAAATGCTAATAATTATCTGATCCTTCAGTGACTCATAATCTTTTTGCTGGTAGAAGATGTTGCCTCAATGTTCTGGCTATTGACTGATCAGGGTGGCAGTTCCTGACGGTTCAGATGACTATGGCAATTTCTTAAAATGAGACAACAGAAAGTTTGCTGCATCAATGGACTCTTTCTTTAATGAAAGATTTTTCTGTAGTAAATGATGTTGATAGCATTTTATCCATAGTAGATCTTCAAACCCTGCTGCTGCTGCTTTATCCACTGAATTTACGTAATATTCTAAACCCTTGGTCGTCACTTCAACAATGTTCATAGCATTTTTACCAGAAATAGATTCCATCTCAAAAAAGCACTTTCTTTGCTCATCCATAAGAAGCAACTCCTCATCTGTTCAAGTTTTATTATGAGTTTGCAGCAATTCAGTTACAGCTTCAGGGGCTGCTTCTAATTCTAGTTATCTTGCTAGCTCCATTATATCTGCACTTCCTTTTGTCCCTGAATCCTTTAACTCCTTCAAGTCATTTATGAGGATTTGAATAAACTTCTTTCAAACTCCTGTTTATTTGAACCTTCCATGAATCATGAATGTCCTGAATCCTGAATCATGGATCCTATCCAGAAGGTTTTCAACTTGCTTTGCCCAAATCCATTAGAGGAATAACTATCCATGGCCGCTATAGCCTTATTAAATGTGTTATTTAAATAAGAAGGCTTGAAAGTTGAAATTCCTCCCTGATCCATGGGCTACAGAATGGATGTTGTGTTAGCATGTAGAAAAAAATTATTAATATCCTTGTAAATCTCCATCCCTGCTCTAAGGTGACTAGGTGCATTGTCAATGAGCAGTAATATTTTTAAAGGAATCTCTTTTTCTGAGCAGTAGATCTGAACAGTGGTCTTAAAGTATTCAGTAAACCATATTCTAAACAGATGTGCTGTCATCCAGGCTTTATTGTTTCATTTATAGAACATAGGCAGACTAGGTGTAGTATAAAATTCTTAAGGATTTTTAGAATTGTAAATAAGCATTGGTTCTAGCTTAAAATCATTAGCTGCATTAGCCCCCACAGAAGAGTCAGCCTTCCCTTTGAAGCTTCGAAGCCAGGTGTTGACTTCTTTTCTCTAGCTATGAAAGTGCTAGATGGCATCTTATTCTAATAGAAGGCTGTTTCATCTACATTGGCAATTTGTTGTGTAGTGCAGGCACCTTCATCAATGATCTTAGCTATATCTTATGGATCACTTGCTTCAGCTTCTACATGAACACTTATTAATTCACCTTGCAATTTTGCTATGAAGGCAGCCTCTTTGTTTAATCCTCATGAAACAACGTCTTCTAGCTTCAAATTATTTTTCTGCAGCTTCCTTACTTCTGTCAGCCTTCACAGAATTTTTTTTTAAAAGTTAGGGCCTTTGTTTATATTAGGCTTTGGCTTAAGGGAATGTTATTACTGGGTTTGACCTTCTATTCAGACCACTCAAAGACTGTCCATATCATCAATACAGCTAGTTCCCTTTGTTGTCATTCATGTGTTCACTGGAGTTGCACTTTTAATTTTCTTCAAGAACTTTTTTTTTTTTTTGGCATTCATGATTTGACTAACGGGCACAAGGCCTAGATTTTGGCCTGTCTCAGCTTTCAACATGCCTTCCTCACTAAGCTTAAATATTTCTAGGTTTTGACTTAACGTGAGAGATATGTAACTTTTTCTTTCACTTAATCACTTGGAGCCCATTGTAGGGTTATTAATTGGTCTAATTTCAATATTGTTGTGTCTCAGGGAATAGAGAGGCAAAGGAGAGGGAAAGAGATGGGTGAATGCTGGTCAGTGGAGCAGTCACACAACATCTATTAAGTTCACTGTGGGCACAGTTCATGGCACCCCAAAACAGTTACAATAGTAACAGCAAAGACAACTGATTATAGATCATAATATTAATACTAGAAATAATAATAATGAAAAAGTTTGAAATATTGTCAGAATCACCAAAATGTGACCCAGAGACACAATGTGAGCACATGCTGTTGGAAGTTTGCCGTCGACAGACTTGCTCAGAGTAGGGTTGCCACAAAACTTCAATTTGTAAAAAATGCAATTTCTCTGAAACACAATAATAGGAAACACAAAAACATGAAGTATGCCTATATAGGCTTTTAATTGGGGCTTTTAAAATTGTCTGTGTCTGTTAGTAGTTCTAGGTTCCAGTTTTCTCCAGTGCTCCAACTAAGACATATGGAAGGAAAAAGAAAACCCAAGGAACTAATTTCCATGCTGTTCTTCAAGTACTGAGGTTCCTAGCCAGTCTACCTTCTTTTTTGGCCTTTCAGTCTTTCTGTGTTTTCTTATTGTAATTATGCCCAGAATTTTTAGTTGTATAAGAGAAGACTAGCAAGAAATGGGACTATTCCATCTTAAGAAAGCCAAAAGCCCTGACATTCATCTTTAGGTTTATTTTATATTATTCTACTCAGTTGACATATAATGTTGAACTACGTCATCCATCCATTTATCCAGCTACTTCTTTTCCCATGCATTTATTTATTCTTTCTTCATCCTGTTTTTTTTTATCTGCAATTTGTTTGTATTGAATAAGTGTGAGGTTCTATTTTGGTGGCTACTGGACATGAGATCGGAAACATGACTATCAAGACCAATAAAGCCCTGGATATGTCCACACTTCACTGTAGAAGACATCATTTAAAAAATGAATTTTGTTTCATGTAGGAGAACAGATGATAAATCATTGCTGGCTTTGTTTATATGCATAATATTTGTTTACGGTGAACAAATTAACATTTTTCTTGAAAGAGAAGAGTATCTGCAAAATGTAAATATCTGGCACAAAGGCTTGAGGTGAAAGGTTCAAAGGCCTCCTCATCCACTAGTGTTGGTAATCGTGGTTATATAAATTATCTCTTAGCATCAGAGTCTCTACCTGAGTCACTCCGGCCCAACTCCCTCCCTTCAGCCCTGGAAGAATACTTTGTGGTTCTCTGAAAGTTTTTAAACACCTGGGCACTATTACAGTGAGGATTACACCTATAAACATTATTCACAAGGTGACCCGTTTACAATTAATTCTGGCTAATAATATTTCATTTCCTTCACTACCACATTTTCTGTTGTAGCTTTGGTGTCTCCCAAAGCATGGAGCACAGAGGGATCACCTTGCTCACTGTACTCCAACGACAGCTGTCACCAGTCACAGATAATTACAAACTCTCGGGTCAGATATACTAAGCCAACCAGAGTGTCATAAATTGTATGTGTGAATTGCCCAGGGGCCCCTGACTATGTCTGAAACAGAGCCAAAAATAAAATTCCTGACTCTTCCCATACAACTGGCTTGCTTCTTTAAATTAAAGTCAATTGCCTGTGCTTTTACTGTCCTGTGTATCTCCCTTTGTTATTCTTTCCAGTTGTCTCCTCTAATCTCTGCAGGCTCAGTAACAATTTTCATTTCCTTTCTGACCTTATAAACAGGTGGTACCAAAGATATGATATGTGTCATTATACCATGGAAATAGATGTCTTTTTAGTTTGGTCTTACTTCTATCATTCTGCTATTATCTTACATGCACATACACATATGATTTTTCTATGTACTTTTTTGTAAGCATTGTGTGTCTTACCCCTATGTTGTGTTCTAAGGAAGCTTAATCTCTAAAGGTGTTCCTTAATATGTTCTATTCCATAAAGTTTACTTATTACAGCTTCTTTGGAGATTAACAGTATCTATCAGTACAATGTAGTCTATTAGTACTACTAATCCATTAGTGCTATTTAATGCCAAATATAGTACCATTAGTACTATCATAGAAAATCTACTTTAACTGTTTTTTTAGACTTATATAAAATTGTTGTTTAAATCAAAGTATTATTTATATATATTGTAGTGCACTGATCTCAAGATTACAGCTTGTCTAGCTTTGACAGATGCAAACACCTAGGTGATCCATACACCCCATCTAGATGTAGAACACTATATCCCTGAAAAATTTCCCTCATGTCCCTTCCCAGTCAATCTTTGTGAGTTCTGATGCATCTGTGAATCTGTGTTCTGCCATTGTAGATTATTTTTGCCTTTTTTCTTATAAACAAAATCATACGTATGTGATCTTTTGTGTCTAGTTTTTTTTGGTATACCGTTTTTAAGATTGTCATGTTGCTGCATGTTTCACTAGTTTAATCCTACTTTTCAGTGGTATTTCATTGTATATTTGTTTGTTTATCAATTTTTTTTCTCTTGACTGGTACAATATTATTTCTACATTTTTACTACTGTGAATAAATTTGTTAGGAGTATTCTTGTACAAGCTTTCTGTGGACATAGGTGTTTCTTTCTTTCGTATGTATTCCTAGAAGTGGATTTGATGACTCATAGGGTAAATATATGTCTAACTTTTTACAAAACTGCTAACATTTTATCCAAATTGATTGTACCATTTTACACTCCCACAGAAATGTATGAGAATTCCGGACTCTCAATAATTTTTGGCAAACGCATGGTAATAGACTGAGATATACAGTGTGAAATGTTGATATAGATATTATAGAAAGGGGTATACACAAAAGAGATGAGAAAAATAGGAGCCTATTTTTTCAAGGTCTGATTCAGTAAATTTAAATTTAGCTGTATGTCTTGTTTGTTCTGCTCATGACTCAAAGTATTCTTAAAGTGTAATTGATCTCTGGTTGCTGAGAGATTTTAGATATTTCTTCATGTTTCTATGGTGTGTCCGGATAATTTCACTGCAAAATATTTTCCAGTTAAATTGCAAAATTTGATGCAGAATTTCTAGTCCAGTTTATTCCTGTATAGGAGAATTGGCAGTTCTCCCTGAAATTCATAATTTACTTCTATATTAAAATAACAAGTATTGAATGACAATAAGAGATTGAATATTGAAAATAAAGACTTTTTTCACATCTATGGACTGAAACTTCATGGTATTCTTAAAATAAAGCTTGAATTTTGCAAACATTATTTAAATCTGGACTCTTTGAAGTAAGTTTGGCTAATAATATTTCAGACAGTTCTATTGAAGCATTTTAAAAATGTGTGATTTGGAGGCTCATTCAATCACAGTAAATAATCACATTTGTGTTTTGAATGAGAGAATGGCTGTCTAGTGTGTAAGATGAGGTAAATTAAAGAAGGACCCACTGACTTTTGGGTGGGGGATTAGCAGACCAAATAATATGATAACTCTTGACTACTGAGTGGTTCATATCCACTTTGCTTGACTCCTGGGATCTTCTAAACATTTTATTATGTTTTCTATTCATAGGTGCATATAATAATAGGTAGGGTAGGGAATAACCCTAGTATCTAGTCAAAACTTTCATTTGATGCTTACATTTCCTCTAAACCATTTTCTCCAGTTGTTATTTACCTTCAATAACTGAAGGACTTCCTTCAATGTCATGGAGAAGGTCAAAGAAACGTATATTTATGGACTGAAAATGAGTTTTATCACTCTTTTCTTAGTCATATTCATCAGGCTCCCTTTTTTATTCCAAGACAAAACACTATAAGGAGAGTGTGAGTGATGGCAAAAGGCATCTCTACCTGGCACTAAGGTTCATGAAAAATGGGAGGCTGTTTGGTGCCTGTCAAAATGGGAAACTCAGATTAGTATAGCTAGAAAACACTATGGTGTCTATAGCTAAAAACACCATAGTCACCCACAATGTCTCCTTTTATTACATTAGATTTAGATTCTTCAGTGTCCTTTATATCAACACAGTTGATCTGAGCCCTCTCTTCAATTCTCTGATCCTGCATCAGATAATTTTTTCTATTATTCTAGTTTATTATTATTTGAATTTTTTGATTGTGAAGTATTTTCATTTTGAAGAGAACAAATGATTATTTTAGGAATCACTATTTTATCTACCCTCACCAATCTCAACTAATAATATCCCAAATAAACGCATTTTCTTTTTTTAACTAAGTCTTGTTTTAAAGAAAAATGATGTGGGTGTCAGAGAGTAGGAGGCTGTCTGAGTGAAATCAACTGAGAATTCTTCTCAAGGTGTTTTTGTTAATTAAAATCAGAATTTCTTTTTATTTTAATACAGCAACCACTCATTGCTAATATTATCAGGAGCCTGTTATTATCCTGTAAATATTTAAATTGCTTTGGAAGGGACAGAAGAGTGACAAAAGAAAGGACGAGAGCAAAAACCAGAGATTACAGGAAGCTGGTTGGTTCCAGTTGAATTTTGCTGATGTCATGTGGACTATGGTATACTGGAGTCTCATGCATCAACCTTTCATATGATTGTGGTAGGCAGAATTCTAAGATGCCCCCTAAGAGTCTGAGATTCCCTGATGTACACGTCCTATATAATCTCAGGAACTGTGAATATAATTTATTTCAGTCTGGTGTTTAGGTTATACAATATGACAGACTTTACTTTAAAAGAAGGAGATTATCATCACTATAATCAAGGTAAGGGGGGTTGTTTATATTCAAAATCATCAAATATACACATTAAATGTGTACGGTTCTTTGTATATCAATTATACCTCAATAAAGCTGTTTAAAAAGAGACAGAGGGAGATTACCTGTGTGTACCTAATCACATGAATCCTTTAAAAGCAGAACATTTTCTCTAGCTGATTCCAAAAGAGAACATCAAGGAGACACTCTCTGGCTGGCAGGGGAAAATAGAAGCAAACGTGCATGCTGTGACTAGCCTTTGGAGTCTATATGGCAAGGAAGTCTCTGACCTGAGAGTGGTTCCCACCTAACAGCCAGCATGAAAATGGGGACCTCAGTACTACAACTGTGAGGAAATGAACTCTGCCAACAACCAGTGAGCTTGGAAGAGGACTCTAAGCCCCAGATGGCAGCCCCACATGACTCTTTGATTTCAGCTCCCTGAGACCCTAAGCAGAGAATCCAGTCATACCATGTCCAGACTTCTGACCAAAGAAACTGGAAAATAAATTTGTGTTATTTTAAGCTATTAATAGAAAACTAATACAGTGAGGCAATCAAGATGAGGTAGTTTTTTGAAGCAGGGAATCACAAGTAATACAGTTATCTATAATTTTTTAAAAACTCAGTAGGTAAATATTTATTAATTTCTTGATTGTTGTGGTAGGACAAATGGATTCTTCAACTGAAATTACAATTACCTTTTTATGTAAATCACACTTACAATACTTCTATATTTTCCAGTTTTGTGTTCTTTAAAGTGTAACAAGATCTTAAAGTTAATTGCAAAATAATCTGATTTCAGAATCGTTTGAAATGTTGTGATCCACCCCCTCCATCTTTTCAGTTGTTTGGCTAATACCTAGTTCCACAGAAATAATTTAAAGTTTAACCTTTCTAAGTCTTTTAAAAGCATTCGATTTAATTTTCATCAACTCAACATTTTTCTCTACTATTTTAGTATTTATAGAATATCCAATTAAATTATTTATTTTTAGTAACATATAAACCTGGCATATAAGCAATTTTGGGAGCAAACACAAATGATTCAGTAAAAGCTATTTATGCATTTAACTTAGAGAACATATGTACAGGCATACTGGAATATTGGCCATAGTGTTTAACATGCTGTGGCTCTCAGTAAGAAGATACCACAGAGAGACTGTGGGTGTCTTTCAGTCAATCTAACAAGAAAATGAAGTGGAGGTAGGTTATGAGACTTTCTATTAAACACATACATATCTAAACATATATATACAATTATCAATAATATTGGTATTGCTTTATGAAGATTCACCACAATTAGAGTACAATAATATTAGCTCCCCAAAACACAGCTGCCAGGGGCTCTAAATCATTTAAGTGTGGATGCAAAACTACTTTGTTAATATAAAACTTACTAATTTTTTAGGTTCAAGTGAATATTCATTTACACATGCTCGTATCTGAAGCACAGATAGGGATGAGATTGAATCAGATTATCTGGCTCTGTGGTCTTAAACAAGTTAATTATTTCAAAGCTCCACTTGTTCCTCTCTAACATGAACTCATAGAATCCCCCAGGATTGATGTGAAGTGAAGGAGATAACCTGAAAAGTGTGCCAGTAAATGTTACTTCCTCTCCTGTTTGGGTTTCTGTGCTATGGTGGAATTATCCTTAGCATTTGGTTTGTATGGTGTGGGTAGACACCTCTAACTCTAATTTTTCCCTACTTTCAAGTATAGCAATTTGTTAGGTGTACATGAAAAACTAATATGAGTATCATTAGACTTTTTTTTTAAGAATTGAGATATAATCCCTAGACTTAATGTCAATAAATCCACAGCACTAGAGCTGATTCGTGCTTAAATCTTAACACTTATTAAAACATTTTTCTAATATTAAAACAAAGTTCAAAATTGAGAAATATTTACCCCCACTTCCCTACCATAATACAATGATTGTTTTTTATATTCCCTGTTACATGATTTCTTGTTCCCCTACAAAATGATAATGTTAGTCTTTTAAAAAATACATGCTTTTCTTCCTCCCTTTTCATTTGCATTATGAGACCATCTTAATGGTACCTACAGTTAGAAAAGCTATAGATGAGCTGAGCATTATTCCTGTCACGATTGCCAGTCAGTACGGTGCCTCTAACACCTCTGCTTCCAAGCCTCCTCCATCACTCTGCCTGCCAGGTTTAGAGCACACACATCTAGAGTGAATTTATATGTGAGATGCTGAACAGAGCTGGTATCAACAGAAAAGCTTGCTCCCTGTTGAAAATGATTTGAAATTTCTGACAGACCATTTGTTTCTTCTTGAGAGTAGTGCCTACATGTTGGTGTTGGATAGAGCTAGTTTCAGGAACAGTGAGGCAAGCTAAAGCCTCTTTCCTCACCAAATGGCATGCTGGGAGAAAATGAAACAATGGTGGAGATATTGTAGAACTGGGAAAACTGGCACTTTTCAGAAGAAAAAAAATGATATGTGTGGAACAAAATTGAGAAATCAAAAAAGAAAGGGGGAATGGATTAAAATATATAATTAAAATTAGCAGATTCTCAAAATCAGTTTTGAACTCTTACTGCTTATCAGCATGTGGTAATTCAGTTGGCCTCTTCAAACTCCAGCTGGAGTTCAAGCTTCCCAGGTCACACACGCTGCCTTCGGTGAGGTCCATGATTTATGTCTGTGTAACCTCTAGGGCCTACTGCAGAGCCATTGGGTCTCTGGAAAGGAAATATAAATATACCCCCTGCCCCTGTGACATACACATACCACCCCAAAACCTTTTATCTGTGAGCTTCAAACATTTGTGTTGACACCTGTTAGGCCAGCTGTAATATCTTTACAATAATGTCTTCACTAATAAAAGACAAAATTGAACACAAACTCAGATGTTTTACCTTTGTTTTGCTATATTATTATTTATGTCTATTCTTTTATTTATTAAATATGTTTTGAACATCATATACATGCTGTTCTCCCTTCTTGGAAAAAGAGTAGGGAACAAAGCAAATAAGACCTATGGAGCTCAAAGTTTAGTTGAGAGAAATAGGCAATAAACACTTTAAAAGGGACTATATAGTATCTATAAAGTCTAGGGAGCACCAAGGTAGAAAGAAGTGGCTATTTTACAGAGTGTACTCAAGAAAGGCCATCCCTGATAAAATAGCATTTGAATAGATAACAGAAGGAAGTAAGGGAGCGAGTTGCCCAAATGGCTCTGGAAGGCGCGTTTTAGTCTGTCTCAGGGAGGGCAAAGGCTCTAAGCTGAGTGTATGTTTAGTGAGTTTAAGAAACTCTAAGAGATCCAACATCATGAAGGAAAATAAAGAAAAAAAAAAACGAAGAACATGCAAGAGAAGTGTAGGAGGTGAAGTTAGGGAGATAACAAATAATTTACAATTTTTTAGACCAACGTAAGAAATCTTGATTTTTTTAGATTTTGGATTTTTTTTTTTTTCTGAGTGACTTAGGCATTGAAAGGTTTTGGCAAGATCATATGCGCTGGCACTTGGTTTCTCAAGTTGCCTGCTTGGCCCTCTTCCAAGTAGTATGTTCCTTCTTTTCTTTCCTTCCCTTCCTTTCCTTACTGTTCTAAAACTTTTTAACAAACTTTAACTCCTGCTCTGAACCTTGCCTCGGTCTCTTCTGCTTTATGCTCCTCAGTCAAATTCTTCCTTCTGAGGAGGCAAGGACTGAAGCTGCTGTGGACCTGTATGGATTCACCACCGGTAACTTGGGGTAACTCGGCTCTCTTCCACTGGTAACGTATTTGGAACATGTGACTTGTATAAGTTCCTAGTGGTAAGAGGTATTTATGCCTTGTCTTCTTTGACTACAGGCATCCGACCCCTGTGCATGGCTTTTTCTCTCTCTCTTACTTTCTCCAAAAAAGGAAAAAAAGAAAAAAAAAAACCAACACATCATAAGCACTAACATAGATTTTCACAGACAAATGGGGCAGTATGTTGGGAATAGATGTTGAATTATGCTTTGATGGACCATGTTATGTAGCAGGAGTCTCTTCTATCCATGAGGGAAACAAGAATCCAGATGTCTTTTACAATGTTTGAGAAAAATAAATGGATGTTAACTTGATGAAAGGAGACAGTTTTTTATCACCTTTATAATAAAAATATTAATTATGATTTTACCCCATAATGAAAGGCAAAGGTGCTCTAGAAATTAGCCTTCAGAAGTAAATTCTTAAACAAAGGCACATTGTACCTGTTTTCACATGTGATTTCCTCACATTAGTAATGTTGAGCCAGAAAATTCACTGAAGGTTGTGCAAGAATCTTCAGAAATTAGCTACTTTCTTTCTAAGATAAACTTGTGAAAAAATAATCACAAGTAGTGATCTAGTACTAAGGTTTATAGCCAGCTTCTTGATTCACTAAGATAAATCAATTATTTCTTCTTGCCTCAATTGCTTAATTTTTCAAAAGTAAACACTATTCTGACTTGCCTTATGAAAGTCTCAAAAGCTTATTAAATTCTTGAGTATGCACTATTTTGAATATTAAATACCAAAAATTTTCAACCCTCAAAAGTCATTATATAAATCACTATAGATGGTTGAAAAACCAAAGAGATACTCAACAAATTGGCTGTTTATACTGTAGTAGAATAATTTTTAAATAAGGGGGAAATAAATTTTACAAGTTATTCCATACAAAGTATGTAAAATACTGGAGACATCACTAAAGTAAACATGTTTTTCATAAATATTGAGCAGTTTTGGAAGTAACTTCAGGATATGCTAGACATTCAGCTTTTGACTGAATTTTGACAATATGGATTTATTAGAATTGAGAATTTATTGAATTTATTGATTTGTTGGCATAGCTTACAAACCTGAGCTATTAGGTTTAAATATCACAAGGAGTGCAAGTCCAATAGCACATTCCAGAGAACTTCTTTAGAAACAATCTCTGTGTGATAATGTGTGTGATGATTCACATACACATATACATGCACACACACACGTATACACACGCATGAAGACATATGTATATATAGATAATTTTATACTAAAGTCTACAAAAAGATTTAGACTGTTGCTTTAATTCTGACTTGTTCACTGACTCGTGGTTCATTTTCTAATAGAATATTCAGGAACCTAACAAGACAATTCCAAAGTCAAATTAAAAGTTTATTAAGTAATTTCTCAATTACATTATGTATGAAATATGACTACTGTTCAACAAATAAATTTAAATGTGGTTTTAATTGTAGACCAAGAATATTCTACGCTCTAAGTTAGTATGTTTACTGGCACTATACCAAATAAAGAGTAAAGTTTGGGGGTCTTATTTATAAACCATCACTGGAACTTTCTGGCAAAGATAAAGCGAATGCTGGGTTGAATGAGATACCCATCACCATTGCATGGAGGTTTTTCTTGTCAGCCAAGGTCTTGGTGCAGGGACCTGGGAAAAGAAGGCATAGAAGGTAATCCTGCATATTTGATGCTGGTACTTTAATCATGACACATGGGAAGAGAGTGGGTTCTCAGCCTAGTTAGGATGAGTTCAAGAGAAAGTGGTAGCTGGCAACAGGCAAGGGCATGGGAAGAGTTGAGTGGGATGGGAAGGGGTGTAATGTGTTTGAGAAAGGGGACTCACAGGTCTATAATCTACTTCACTCCTCTCCTTTCTTCCCTACCTTCAGTAAAAGTAGGATTTCCTAAGGCTTCATCTATTTGCCTTTTCTCCGTTGGTTCTTCCTATCACTCTGTGTCTATTAACCTTCTTTATGCCAGTTAATCCTATAAACGTATACATGGTAATATGATAAAATATTCTATAAAATGTATGCATAGAAAGTCCTATCAGACAGCATTTGTTTTAATGTAAATTCAGCCTCTGTAACTATGGTTAAATCAAAAAAAGGAGTGATTTAAATTTGAAATTTCATGGTAAAATGTTTAGAAGATAGAACATTTGAAACTTCTATTTTGGTGGCAGGCTGTCCTGATCAACCACAGAATATTCCTTCAAAGCTATAAGTGAAAGATTTTAAAATATTATAGTACTTAAGAATTACCTGGAAAACTACCCAAACATGCATCATGTAACTATAAAGCAATTAAAACAGAATGCACTGTTAATAAACTCAACAACACCGACGAATCTAAAATACCGGATGTTGAAAGAAGTCAATCAACTACAAAAAGCATATATTATGTATTCCATTTGTATAAAGTTCAAGAAGAGGCAAAACAGTAGTATTTTTCCTCTGGGTGTGTTATTGCCTAGAAAGAGCATGAAAAATCCTTCTAGAGTGATGGAAATTAGCCATCTGTTGATTCTGAATGACAGTTACATGGGTATATTCATATGTAAATATTTATCCAGCTGCACATTTGAGATTTCTGTATTTTATTGTTACATTTAAAATTCAAAAATCACTTGAGGTACTTAGTAAAAATATGGATTCCTGGGCTCACCCATAGATATTTTAATTTAGTAGCCTGAGACAGTCCTAGAAATCTGTATTTTTAAAATAAGTCTTTCAGAGCATTATGAAGTAAATAGTCTATGAATCACATTTTTAAAAACACCGGATAAAAGGTAGACTCTATACCTCCAGTAAGAACCCAGAATCCATCTGGTTTATTGGGTCTTTCTAATTTGATAGCTTGTATCATGATTAATGAGTTTAAACAATTTTAACTGAATTCTCCCTATTGTGAATCAAATCATAATTCTACTTCCAAATTATTTTCATTTAGGTTATACAGAGGAGATAATTTTCTTATGTTATATAATTTTTTAGGCTATCTTCTAATAGCTATCAAAACCCAAGCTAGTAGCACTTACAAGCCCTCCATACTCTGCAATCATCCCTACTTGACTATCTAATGAGAGTCAAGTTTTGAGTTCAAATATAAGGAAAACCATGTAATAAGGCATATTGGGTGACTTTCAAGATGATCTATTTAAAACAACTGGCTTTTTAATTTATTAACTGTAAGCAATGCTGTGTTTCAATATGCAACTGTATTCTATAACTTTTAAAATAAGTTCTATTTGCTTAGAAATTGAATATCTATTTTGTTCCACTAAACAATTATTCCATGAATTCTCACAGGGATGCAATTGTTAAGAAAGAATTCAAATTTAAATACAATTATTGTAGATTTGTATAGAAGCCTACATAGCATATGAATTTAATTTTCTTCACTTTCAATTTGCTTACAGGTAATTCAACTCAAGGTAATATAACCACTCTGCTGAATTCTTTTGTCAAATGTTGAAGGTGTTCAAGGATGGTTATTATGCTAAAGAGGAATTTGAATTTACCGAATGACAGCTAATTTTGTTCTCTTAAATCTTTAATCTGTTGACTTAAATAAACATTATAGGTAAAGAATTCTTTCAAAATGTAATCTTTGCTTGCATGACTTTACTAAGACATACTTTTGTATGCATTGACTTAAGTGGAAATACATTAAATTAAAAGCATAATGCAAATGGTTAGTTGAGAATATAGAATATACTGACGAATTTAATGGCTCTGTTTTTCAAAACATTTAAAAGAGAAGTGAGAGTGAGAGAAAGTGAAAAAAGAGGGCGCAAATACAAGTAATTTTAAAAAGATTTAAATGTATTGAATTTAGTATTGATAGTATCAAACTCATATTAATAGACATATTTAGCAGAATACCATTGAAATATGTGCAGATTAACTTAAGAGCTAAGACTGAAAACTTTTATGGTCACATTAACCCAAGTTCAAGGCCTACATTCACTACTAACTATGAATCTTCGGTCAAGTAACTTTTTAGAAATAATGGTATTTATATTGTAAGTATTAAATCAGTTAATACTTGAAAAACACCAGAGTGCTGGTTACATAGCAATTGCAAAAAGTATATTACTTGCTGACATGGTGATGAGAATGACATTTCTAAGTAATGATTGATGTAGGGCACTAGCTGAGACAGACATATTCTTGTTCAGAATTAGAAGAACCACTAATGCAAAATGCTGCTCCTGAATTTCACTATTTCAGCTTGAAAACATTTAATCAAATCTAATTTAAATATAAATTTATTTCTGTTAAAACCTCTTTTAAAACATAGCAAACAAGGAGTTTTATTTTCTTGTATTTAGCACTGACCTAATATGCTAGTACATACACATAGTTTATAAATGTTTTGGGTATGCTGAAAGACAATTTAATTTTACTAGGAGACTTTAATAATTAGGGTCCAATAGCAAAATTAAACCAAACCAAAACAAAAATAATGTACCCAAACTGAACCAGACTAGAGTAATTAAAATCAAACCAAAGAAAGATGCTACTCTCAGAAGAAATGGCATGCAATTGGATGTGAGGCCATAAAATGTTTAAAACATTCTTAAAAATACCTATGTAATTTTGTAATTTTGACTTTCACACTATTTCTACATGGTAAAGCTAGGAAAATTGGAGCTAATGATATCCCCAAAGAGACAATTCAAAGAAACAATGTAAACATAATGATACACCTCATTGGTTATTTCTGTGCTTAAATTTTTATCAATTCCTCATTTCTGGAAGGCTACTTTAAATAATTAATAACAAGATAATTTATATTTTAGTTATTCCATGACAATATATTTATACCGTCTCACACGAGATTAAGAGAGACTGAGAAACCATTATCTCTCCCTCCCATCCCATATGTCCCCCACTCTGCCCCTATTGCTGATGACTCACACTACCAGTCAACACTGTTAAGAAAGCTCTTTACATTTGCCTAAAATTTTCAAATCCTATTTTCAGGAGCTAGGCATTCTGATATTTATAAAATACTTAAAGAAGATAATTATTGGCATCATAATTATTATTTAACCAGTGGGCTGTGGAGGTACTTCTTCTTTTCACCAGGCTCCTCTATCTCAGAAAGTGACACTGTTCCATCATTTATTACCAGGATTAATCTGGTTTGGCTACAGTTAGGTATATGCACACTTCTTTTCTCACTTCTCCAAACATGTCCTTCCCAAACCCATATACTTGCTCAAACATTCCCATTTTCGAGGGAGGACTTTTTCTAAAATGGAAGATGGTTGAAAAATACTTATTACTGTAGACACTGCTAAATTGCATCAATTTTACAGATGAGGCAACAGGCACAGAGAGGTTAATTAATTATTGGAAAATGACATAATAAGTAGCAGAGCTTAGAATATGCATCCGGGAGTCTCTTAACCACTGCATTCAATATCTTAATTATTTTCACCCTAATTATCAGTATGGTTACTTTTAAATTAAGAGGATTTGATCAGGTGAGCCCAAAGTTTATTTTAGGACAGCGCTGGCCCCTGGAAGACTCGGTCTTTTGGGGCAGAAAACTTTCAGATGTGCAAAGTTAGTGCAAGTTGCCAGCAGCCCTTTTGGTAGATGTTGCCCCAGTTTATTGTTGATAGATCTTTGAAGTCATCACAGAAGTGGATGCCCTTCAAGTCATGTGTTACTCAGAGTAATTCATCTGCCTCATGAAATTGGCAGCTGAAATGGGACACTTGTATTTGGCAGGATTTAGTGGGAAGAGAAACATGGTATACTAACAGTATCAATGACTAAGGTGATAGAAAATTCTAAAACTCTAGTGACGACTCCACTTCTCCAGGGCTTGAGCTGTCCCCACCTGTGCTATCGTTTCAGAGTTTTGTCACACTGGGAAATCAAAACCAGGATTAAATCTTTTATTTTAATAAATATCTTAGCAGACCTTTGGTTAAAGTCTGACTATGTGCCAAGCACCATGCCAACTGGCTTATAAGATACCAGCTAATAACACTTGGAAATTTACTGAATTGCTGTACAACATGTGAGGCAGGAAATGTGCACCTTTGTACCTGCAGGTAATAGAAGGAGGTCAGCTTCAATGCTCACCAAGTATCACTGAGCTTGTTAGCATCAGCCCTATTGAGAACTCTTCCCATGGCCAGTTTCTGGTGTCTGTTCTCCTCTTTCCCTTGGTTTATCCATCATAAAGTTCTGTGTCCTAAAAGCAAGCAAGCAAACAAAAAGCAGTGTAAAAACAAATGGGGGTTGAGGGGAATCTAAAAGGGATTTTAGTGCTCCCTCTCTCATTCTGCCCTATCAAATTATAGGTAAAGAAATTGACACACAAAACACTAAGTTGCTTGACTGAAGTCAGACAGCTAATGCTACAAAAAAATTAAAACCGAAAAAGTCAAATATAAACTGTTGCTTGTTTTAGAGAAGATAGCACAAATTAATCACTAGAATCCAAAGCAAAGTAGATAAATCACAGTACCCTAGAGTTTTAAAACTTAAAATTATTTCAAATATATCCTTCAAATCAAGTAACTGACTCCAGATGTCACAGTTATGTCAGTGGTGTAGCTAGAAGCAAAGGTTCCAATGTTAGCCTTCCTTCAGCTTTTCAAATTCCAGAACATCTCAAACGTTTCCTGCTGCATTCTTTGACTACAAAACTCTTTCTGCTTACATCTGGTTGCGTATAATGTTTCAAGACCCTTTCCTCTTATCAAGAGGGCAGGTGTGTGACAGGAATTGCAGGAGAATTTAGGAATGCGAAAAACTGATCAAGACAGGTGAAACCTCCACCTTAGTAAACAAATTAATGTTTACATGGGTAATCTGACAATAAACATATAAACAAGTAAATAAGCAAGAAAACTGAAAATTGTTGTTACCAAGAAAGGAAATAATCATGCAATGGGTTATGGAGTGAAATTGGGAAAGCCAGTTGGGACAAGGTGGTGAGGGAAGTCTCTCTGCTGTGTGACATTTGAGCTGAAAAGAGAAAATGAGAATGAGGCAGACATGCCTACATACTATGGGAAAAACACTGTGGGCAGAGGCTGAGGAAGAAGTCTGAGTTTTCTCCGTGAAGATAGGGTAGGAGAACTCTCCAGCCAGATAAACAGGCAAATGCGAGGGCCAGGGCTTGAAAGCTTGGATATAGCCAGGAATTGCAAGAACATAAGGTGCAATAGTGATGAACCCTGGGGCTGAAGGGTAGGCAGGGAACAATGAACACCAGCCTTAAGTGCTCTGATAAGGCTTGAGAGGTATGGAGACATAGTGTGTGATAAAATATCTTGTTCTTTTATTTATTCAAAAATGAATTTTATTTGGTTGATCCAGAGATTAAAGCCACCAGGGAACTTATCCTTTTAAGAGTCCCCAGAAGAGTCTTTTCAAAAGGAAAATAATCAAACTTAACTTGTGGTTATTAAGTTTGAAATAAACTTAACTAATTCACATTTTAAAGAAAGTGTGAAATGTGGCAGTTTGCTTAGTTGATAATTATGAAAGTTTTAAATTTTAAATCAGCATTAAAATATTGCATTTATTTTCTATAGTTTATTTCTATAATATCACTCTTTCCTATTTTTTTAAATGAGGAGGTATTTAAGACACTTAAAAAACAAAAATGTCTTCTAATTTATTCCAGAAGATTATCACTATTTCAGCATGTCATTTTGAATGGAGAGACAATCAGAATACAACAGAAAGTCTTTTAACTGCCAGTACTAATGACTATGAATTTTCCAATTTAAGTAACTGCAAAAGGGGAAGCAGATACTTTATACAGTTG
This sequence comes from Homo sapiens, assembly GCF_000001405.40. Taxonomy (NCBI): domain Eukaryota; kingdom Metazoa; phylum Chordata; class Mammalia; order Primates; family Hominidae; genus Homo; species Homo sapiens. Next base: position 110,465,200 of record NC_000003.12, on the reverse strand, counting down.
TATTATTGTTGTGTGTATTTTTTAAATTAGAGAGATTCACAATGTTTAATTTGCTTTTAAATGCAATGTCAATAATTTTATCAATAAACATTTATTAACCCTTTACAAGATTTAATGTGCTTTCCTGAGTGTCTGGTGGTATTCAGACATGAAAACCACAGGGTTGCATTATAAGAGGGGAAAAGCTAAATACTCTTGAAAAGATGACCAATAAGATAAGATAGCATAGGATAAATTAAAATTGGGGACAAACCACAAATGCCATTGAAGATCAGATCAGGGAGAAGCATTACAAGATAGGTATCAGGGCTGGGGTTCAGATCAAACTTTGAAAAAAGTGAGTTTGAGATGGGGTGGAAAGAAGGGAGAAAGCAGAGGAGGGAGAAATCAATGGGATTAGTTAAATACGGCAAATACTACATGACTGCTCCACTCTAACCCATTTGTCCCTATGCCACAGCAAGCCAAAGGGGAAAAAAATAGATTAAATTAACATCTTTTAAATTCTGTTTCTGTGGCTCTATCCCTCCATCAGAGAACCTGCTGAAATTCCAGCCCCCAAAACTTATGCACTCTATCCCTTATCCTCAGTCTTTCTGGGAGCCCTGAGGAGGTGCGGGGTATGTGCTCTGCTCTGCTATCTTACAGTTCTGTCACTTCTAGTTCTCTTCAAAGCTGCTGCTTTCAGTGGAGGAAGACCTCACCACTGTCCCAGGCACTCTGTTTTCAACGAGAGGTCTAGGGTTCTGCCCAAAGTCCCCACCTCTATTTCCCATGCTTCTCACTCACATTTTGCTGCTAAGATGCTGAATGTCTCAGTACAAAATGCTCACCCTATTCTCTCTGGTGTACACTGCGCAAAGCCACTGGTAAACAGGAAGGATCCCTATCTTCTAGCACTGTGCTGCCCACTTTCCTACATGGGCCCAGAAATAAGACTAACTCCTGATCCAATGTCTTTCTTACGAGGATTTTAGTGAAAAAAAAAAAGAGAGAGAGAGAAACTGATCCTTTCTTTTTCTTAGCAGAATTACTCACCTCAGGAGAGAAATCTATGTATTGCCACACAGATTGATGAAAATGGGACTAGATGACAAAGTTAAAATCATAGTTCTGAAAACCATAGGGGCTCACTGTGAAGAATAATACCTTTCTGTGGATAACTCACTGGAAGAATATTATTTTCTAAATATGATACTAAACAGCAAATTTTCCCTAATTGAAGGAAGAGGTTTCCTCCTCTCAATTTAGCAATTTTTAAGATAGGGCCAGACTGGCTTAGGTGTCTTATGAAGGCAGGCAGGCAGTGCTGAGGCTGTGTTCCAGGAGATGTGAGCCTTGGTCCCAACTCTACCTCTGGACATCTGTTATCTTAGAGGCCATGCTATGACTTTGGATTTCAGGTTTTTTTAATCTGAAAAAAAAAAGTGCTGAGCCTAAATTGTCCTTTTTTCAATTTTTTCTTAATATTCTACAAGCGTACAAATATAGTAAAGGTTACTATGTTCACATTCACTTTGAAAACAGTAACTAAATCTAAATAAGGGCAGTATTTCTACAAGGGACCCTTTAAATTCTGCAAAAGGGGAAGCAGCTAAGTTAACCTTGCTGTAAGCGCTACAATTAAGCACATGCCACAAAGGAATACTAATCTAAAAATGTAGTAGTGAGAGAAACAAAAATGCTTTTAACGTTGTCTTAAAATCAACATCAAACAGCTGCCAGACCTCTCCCTTGTTTATTCTTCTATCTTCTGGAAGAAAAATTCTATTTTTATCAGTGTCAGGGCTCTTCCTTTCAGCAAGACGTCTCAAGAAACTGGAAAGATCATGTGACTTCTGAAATACAGGAAGACCCTCAGTCTTTACTGAATTATGATGGCTGCTGCTACCCCCATTTTCTGCATCTGGTAGAACTCGGCTTCTGAGCTAGTCATGGGGCACTGGCATACCCAGGGCCAGCCTCTCATGCGCAGCATGCTTCCATTGTCTCTGAGGTCTGGCCTTCTCCACAGGGCATTACTGCAGAGTAGGTATCAAGTGACCAAGAACATCAGGGTCTGGTGATTTTTGTTTCTTCCTACTTTTGAAGAATTATCTTCCTTTTCTTTCTCTATTCCCATATCTTCAATTTGTTGTGGCATTTACTGAACACAATAAGAAACATTATCTTCAGGAAACCTCTGATTTAGCTCCTGTAAAATTACCTGTGGCAATTAATAGGTAGGCTTGGCCACTCAATTTAGTGGGAGGAGAGGAAATTAAGGAAAAACTATATGCAAATGAATATCCCAATAGATTATCATGCTTAACACCTGCTGGCTTAAGAGTTAAGGTAAGAGATTAATTTAACAAGCCTTAAATGAAGATGAATATTAGCACTAGCTAATATTGACTTACTGGGTAAGTCAAATTAGGTTAATGGGTGCTATTTTGTTAGTTTTTAAATTGGCTCTAAGTCAGGTAGATAATTCCCTCTAGTTTATATTGCCAAAAATAGGAAGAAAAACAAAATAAAAACCTTCAGGTCTCAGTGAAGATAATTACACAAATACCTTAGTTCGAAGTCACAAACATGAATTTCTGAACAATTATAGTAAACTGCCAAGAGGTTTTTTGTTTTTGTTTTTGTTTTAATCCAAGTACATTTCCCTCTCCATATAACTGACACTGCTTCCATACTTCAGTTTTAGATTGTCTTGCTGCTGTGGTTCAAATGTGTACCCCAAAATTCATGTGTTGGAAACTTAATCCTAAATGCAACAATGAGTGGAGGTGGGACCTAATGGGAGATGTTTAGGGGATGAGGACTCCATCCTCATGAATGGAATAATGTTGCTATTAAAAGGGCTTGTGGAGCGGGTTCTGTCTTCCTTGACCTTTCATCTTCCACCTTCCACCATGTCAGAATGCAGTAAGAAAGTCTACAACAAATGACAACACCTTTCTCTTCGATTTCCCAGCCTTTAGAACTGTGAGAAAATAAATTGCTGCTCTTTGTAAATTACTCAGTCTCAGGTATTCTGCTATAGCAGTACAAAACAGACTAAGACACTTCCTCAGAAAGTGTCTTGCCTTGGCTGGCAATGCATTAAGAAGGTCATTGCTGAATGTTGTGTCAACCATTGCTTCCGGGATGCTGATGCCTCATGGTGCCTCCTGCCTCCCTTTTCAATTTTCATGATTATCTGAGTTCTTGCTTCTTTCATTCTAGACTACTTAGTGTGTCCTTTAAGATTTGTAATATTTTGTTTTAGCCCTGTCTGAAAGTTTCTGTTTTTGACTCATACGTATTTCTATTCTCTGCTCACAGGCCCTGATGCTAACAGTGCCTTCCCTCATTCCTAACCCAGTTTTCCACCTACACACATGGCACAAAATGGACTTGAGTCCATGTTGACAGAGGTGCATTATCTCATAAACATTGTACTCACGCAGTTTCAAAGAAATGTTTTTATTCAGTGTTCAGCACATACTAAACTAATAATAATGTGAGATGTACAGCTTACAAAGTGAATGGATTATCTGGACAACTTAATGACTCAGATTTTCTCTAAGAAATATTTTCCACTTTCCTGTGTACCTGTCAACACATGTTCAAAAAACAGGGGTAAGATCAGCTTTGTTCTTCACAGAAAAATAATTTTATGAACTCTTTGATGATTATACAATTGATAACTCTGGAACATTAGAAGAAACATATAAAGGCAGCACTATTATTTTGTTAATGTGTGTCACTTTAGTTACAATGTGGCACTAGGTATACTGCTGTCACCTACCTAGAAAGCTCCAGAGAAGAAAAAGAACTCCCTAAAGAGAAGCATTTCCATCAATAGACACTTACAATTTTCTTATGAAGGACACTTGTCTTATGTATCACACAGTGGATCACCTTGGGAGAGAAAGGAACAACAGATAAATGAAATAATTCACCTGCTTCTGTATCCTTCATCTACTAATCACAAAAAACATAATTAACAATAACTATCTGCCCTATAATAGTATCATGGCTGGGCGTGGAGGCTCGCACCTATAATCCCAGTACTTTGAGAGGCTGAGGCAAGAGGATTGCTTGAGGCAAGAGTTTGAGACCAATCTGAATGACATAGTAAGATCCCATCTGTACCAAAAATACTAATATCAATAATAATAATAATTTAAAAATAAATAAAAAATAAATTTTATAAAAGTAATATAATGGAGATTGCACAAAATGCTGAATCAGACAACTACGTTGTTAGCCCTCCAAACCCTCCTGGGTTTCCTGTTCTTTCTGTAGGATAAGTGTCTATATGTTAACAACTTCCTTCATAAGGTTGATATAAGAGTTAAATGGCATGATGGATGCAAATGTATAATATTGTACTCAAGTGCACAGAGGGGGTATCATCAATTTTAATTAGTTTTCCTTATCCCAATTTTTCTTCTTGGGAATATATGTAATGTATCATCTATCATAAGACTCCTCATCCAGAAACAATAAATAAAAGAGGTTTAACACAACACCTGTACGAAGGCTGGGACAGGAAATCTGAGTAAAAATATTGCAGACATCTTTTCTTAGTTTAGATTTTATATTGACCTACTTCAAAATTCAGTCTTTGTGGTGTACCATTTTGTGGGTTGCGAGAGAGTTGCGTGTCTACCAACACAATACAGAAATTTTGTGCTGTTTCTTTGTAGTCAGCCCCTCATCACAGTTTCAACCTCTGCAACCACTATTTTGTTCTCTGTCCCAGTGGTTTTATCTTTTATAAATGTCACATAAATTGAATTATACAGAATTTAGACTTTCAGTTCTGACAACTTTTACTTACTAAAAAGAAACTGAGATTAAGTTATGTTGTCGTTATATGCATCAACAGTTGATTTCTTTTATTGTGTTTTATGGCTTTCACCACAGTTTATTTCTCATTCACTTGCTGAAAGATATTTGTGTTGTTTCCAGTTTTCCATGATTTTGAATAAAGCTGCTGTAAACATTCACTTGTAGGATTTTTGGTGAACATAAGTTCTCATTTCTTTTGGGTAAATACCTATGAATAGAATTGCTGGGTGATAAAAGTGTACATGAGAAAAACTGCCATACTGTTTTCTAAAGTGGCTGTAACATTTTGAATGTTCACCAGAAATGTACAAGAAGAGTTCAAGTTATTTTATATCTTTGTCAACATATTGTCACACTTTTTCCCCCTTGACATTCTAATAGATATGTAATAGTATCTCATTGTAGCATTAATATGAATTTCACTAATAAATAGCGATATTGTACATATTTTCATGTGCTTAATTGCCACGTAATTATGTCATCTGATAAAGTGTATATCCAAATCTTTTGCCCATTTAAAAATTGTGTTGTTTTTTGTTTTATTTTTGAGTTTTGAGAACTATTTACATATTCTTGAAAAATTCTTTGTCAGATACGTGATTTACAAATATATTCTCCCAGTTTATGATGTGTCTTCTCATTCTTTTAATAGTGTCTTTTGTAGAGAAAAGCCTTCTACTTTCAGTACAGTTCAATTTATCTTTTTAAAATTTTAGTGATTATGCCTTTGGTGTAGCACTGTATTAGTAAGAGTTCTCCAGAGAAAGAGAACCAAGAGTAGGTGCACACAAGGAGAAGATTTACTTTAAAAATTAAATCATGTGATAATTGAGGCCTGGCAAGTCCAAACTCTGCAGAGAAGGCAGGCAGTTTGAAGACCCAGGGAACAGATAAAGTTGTGATTCAAGTTTGAAGGCCATCAAACTGGAGACCCAAGTGAGAGCTAATATTGCAGTTCAATTCTGAAGGCCATCTGCATCTGCTGGCAAATCTACTCCCTATTTGGAGGAGGTCAGTATTCTATCAATACTTCCAACTGATTCAAGAGGCTAACTCACATTATAGAGGGCAAACTGTTTTACTCAAAGTTCACCGATTTAAATGCCATCCAAAAATACCTTCACAGAAACATCCAGTATCATGTTTGACCAAATATTTGGACACTGGCCAAGCCATGTTGACACATAAAATGAACCGTTGCAAGCATCTAAGAACTCTTTGCAAAACAAAAGAACATGATAATTTGTTTATATTTTCTTACAAAAGTTTTATTTATAGTTTTAGTTTCAGTAAAAGCTCAATTTAAAAACTTTGTGAAAAAATATTTTAAATAACAAAATCCAAAAAATATATACAAGATTTTTATGGCAAAAATTATAAACTGCATTAGGAAACAGTAAAGAAAGCCTTAATAAATATTTATAAAAAGCAAGAGTTGATATAGTAAAAATATAAATTCTCCACAAATTAATCTATGCAATTATTCTAACTTTAACAGGGTTTTATGTTAATTTATTTGCTTGCTCTTTTTAAATGAAACTTAAGCTGATTCTACATCTTACATTAATGTATAAAAGAAACAGACTAGCTAAGATTATTATGTAGAAACAACTTTCTAGATAGCAAGACTAATGCTAAAGCTTTATTTAGGCCGTCTAGTATTGATTCAGAAGGAAACAAGTTAACCAATAAGATAAAACAGAAAACACAGCAATAAAACTATTTGAACACAGATATAATAAGAATGGCATCAAAAATGAGTGGGAGGGGAGGTAGAGCAAAACTGCTAAATAAGAAGTCCCACTGATCACTGCCCCACCTCCTGCAAAGACATCAAGTTAACAACAGCTTCATAACCAAGTTAAGGGCCCGGGCGCGGTGGCTCACGCCTGTAATCTCAGCACTTTGGGAGGTCGAAGCGGGCGGATCACGAGGTCAGGAGATGGAGACCATCCTGGCTAACACAGTGAAACCCTGTCTCTACTAAAAATACAAAAAATTAGCTGGGCGTGGTGGTGGGTGCCTGTAGTCCCAGCTACTCAGGAGGCTGAGGCAGGAGAATGGCGTGAACCAGGGAGGTGGAGCTTGCAGTGAGCCGAGCTGGCGCCACTGCACGCCAGCCTGGGCGACAGTGCGAGACTCGAGCTCAAAATGAAAAAAAAACAAAAAACAGAACCAAGTTAAAAACACCTTCATCAGAACCAAAAATCAGGTGAGCACCCATAGTAGTTGGTTTTAACTCCATATCACTGAAAGAGGCACTGAAGAGATAGAAAAAACAGGCCTAAATCATAGATGCCATCTCCCCCTACCTGTAGCAACAGCTGAGTGGTGCAGAGAGCAGCTCTAGGTGCTGGGGGAGAGAGAACACAGTAATTGTGAGGCATTGAACTCATTGTTGTCCTGTTAGAGCGGAAAGGAAAACTCAGCTGATGCCTGCCCAGACAGACCAAACTCAGCTGATGATTATCCACGGAGGAAGCATTTAAACCAGCCATAATCAGAGGGGAATCACAGATCCCAATAATCCAAACTTGAGAGCCCACAAACCGCGCCACCAGGGCCCAAAGTGCTCTGTGCCCCTAGATAAACTTGAAAGGCAATCTAAGCCATAAGGACTGCACTCGTAGTGCTGAACTAGTCCCAGAGACAGTGCACTGTGGGGGCATGTGACATACTGAGACACCAGCTGGTGCAGCCAAGGTAGTGCTGGCTGTGTTGTCAGCACTACCTTGCTCTACTAGAGTTAGAGGAGGTGAAACCGTCTCCTCTAACTCCAGGCTATAAAGCTTAGAGCTCTAAGAGTCCCCTTGATTCTGCTTGAGGAGAGGAGAGAGAAGAGTAGGGAGAACTTTGTCTTTCATCTAGAATTCCAGCTCAGCCACAGCAGGATAGGGCATTGGCTAGAGTCATGAGGAAACCTTTCCAGGCCCTACCTCCCCCATGACATCTCTAGGCATACCCTGTACCAGAAGGGAAGCCACTGCCTTGAAGAAAAAGACCCAGTTCTGGCAGCATTCATCACCTGCTAACTGAAGAACCGTTGGGCCCTGAATAACCAGCAGTGATATTCAGGTACTACATTGAGGGACTTGGTGAGCCACTGAGACTTGATGGCTTCAGGTGAGATTCAGCACATTACCAGCTGTGGTGGGTATGGGTAAAACTACTGCTTGAGAAAAGCAGAGAAAAAAGTAAAAGGATTTTGTCTTGCCCTTTAGGTACCAACACTGCCACAGAGGGGTAGAGAACCAAATGGCTCTTAGGGTCCCCAATTCCAGGACTTGTCTCTTGGATCGCATTTCTGAACCTGCCCTGCGACAGAGGGAAACCCACTACCCTAATGGGTGAGTCTCAGGCCAGGCAGAATTCACCACAAGCTGACTTAAAAGACCTTGGGCCTTAAGAGAATGTCAATGGTAGTCTGGCAGCACTCCTTGTGGCCAGTGGTGGTGGTGACTATGGGATGAGGCTTCTCTGTCTTTGGAAAGGGGAAGGAAGAGTGGGAAGGAGTGTGTCTTATGGTTTGAATGCCGGCTCAGCTGCAATACAATAGAATACCAGGTAGACTTCTAAGGTTTTGACTATAGTCCCTGACTCCTAGATGGCACTTTTGGACCCATATGGAACCTGGGGGACTTCACTGCCCTGAAGGGAAGGAAACAGATAGGGCTGACATTACCCCAAGGCCTTGAGCACATATAGGAAGTATAGGGTATGGTTATAGTAGGCCTTGGGTGAGACCCAGCACTATACTGACTTCAGGTCTGACCCCGTGCAGCCATAGTGGTGGTAGCCACAGTGGTACTTGTATCACTCCATTACCAGCTTTAGATGGTTCAGAACAAAGAGAGAGAGACTCTGTAAGTTTGGGAGAAAGTAAGGGAAGAGAACAAGAGTCTCTTCTTGATAATCCAGATAATTCTCTTGTATCTTGTCCAAGACCATCAAGATGGTACCTCTATGAGTCTACAAGAACCACAGCATTACTAGGCTTGTGGTTCTCCCTGAAGCAGAAACAGCTTAAATCACATCACCGAAATCTGTTCAAATATCCAGGAAGGACAGCTACAAATAAGCCTAGACAGTGAAGACTACAATAAATAACTAGCTTTTTAATGCCCACATACCAAAGAACATCTATTATTATCAGCACCATCTAGGAAAACATGATCTCACCAAATGAACTAAATAAGGCACCAGGGACTAATCCTGGAGAAACAGAGATATGTGACCCTTAAGACACAGAATTCAAAATAGCTGTGTTGAGGAAACCAAAAGAATTTCGAGATAACACAGAGAAGGAATTTAGAGTTCCATAAGATAAACTTAACAAAGAGATTCAAATAACTTAAAAGAATCAAGCAGAAATCCTGGAGCTGAAAAAAGCAATGGGCATACTGAAGCATGCATCAGGTCCTTTAATAACAGAATGGATCAAGCAGAAGAAAGAATTAGTGAGATTGAAGACAGGCTATTTGAAAATACACAGTCAGAGGAAACAAAAGAAAAAATAATTTAAAAGATGAAGCATGCCTACAGGATCTAGAAAATAGCCCCTAATGGGGAAATCTAAGAGTTTTTGACCTTAAAGGGGAGGTAGAGAAAGAGATGGGTGTAGAAAATTTATTCAAAAGGTTTATAGAGAACTTCCCAAATGTAGAGAAATATATCAATATCCAAGTACAAGAAGGTTATAGAACACCAAGCAAATTTAACTCAAATAAGACTTCTTCAAGGCATTTAATAATAAAAAAGAAAACTCCCAAAGGCCAAGTATAAAGAAAGGATCCTAAAAGCAGCAAGATAAAAGAAGCAAATGACATACATTGAAGCTCCAATACATCTGGCTGCAGACTTCTCAGTGGAAACCTTATAGGCCAGGAGAGACTGTCATGACATATTTAAAGTGCTGAAGGAAAAAAAAAAACTATTATCCTAGAATAGTATATTCAGCAAAGATAGTCTTCAAACATGAAGGAGAAATAAAGACTTTCCCAGACAAACAAAAGCTGAGGGATTTTATCAGTACCAAACCCATCCTACAAGAAATGCTAAAGGGAGTACTTCAATCAGAAAGAAAAGAACATTAATGAGCAATAAACAATCACCTGAAGGCACAAAACTTACTGTTAGTAGTAAGTAGACAGAAAAACACAGAATTAAGTAGAAAGACTAAACAATGAATCAACCAAAAATAATAACTACAACAACATTTCAGGACATAATCAGTACAATAAGATATAAATAGAAACAACAAAAAGTTAAAAAGGGGAGGCACAAAGTTAAGCCAAGTTTTTATTAGTTTTCTTCTCGCTTGTTTGTTTCTTTATGCAAATAGTCTTAAGTTGTTATCAGGTTAAAATAATGAGTTATAAGATAGTATTTGCAAGCCTCATGATAACTTCAAGAAACATACAATGAATACACAAAAAATAAAAAGCAAAAACTAAATCATATCACCATAGAAAATCATCTTCAATAGAGAAAGAGAGAAATGAAAGAAAGAAGGAAGAGAAGGCCATAGAACAACCAGAAAACAAATAACAAAATGGCAGAAGTACATCCTTACTTGTCAACAATAACATTGAATGTAAATGGACCAAACTCTCAAATCAAAAGACGTAGACTGACTGAATGGATAAAAAAATAAGACCCATTAATCTGTTGCCTAGAAGAACACACTTCACCCATAAAGACACACAAAGACTGAAATTAAAATGATAGAGAAAAATATTCCATGTCAATAGAAGCCAAAAAACAAAAAATAAAAAGCAGGAGTCAGTATACTTATATCTGACAAAATAGATTTCAGGACAAAAACTATAAGAAGAGACAACCAAGGTCACTATATAATGATAAAGGGGTCACTTCAACAAGAGGATATAACAATTTTAAATATATATGCACCCAATACAGGAGTACCCAGATATATAAAGGATATATTAGAGCTAAAGAGAGATAAGCCTAATACAATTATAGCTGGAGACTTCAACACCCCACTTTCAACATTGGACAGATCTTTCAGGCAGAAAATCAACAAAGAAACATTAGACTTAATCTGCGCTATAATGACCGAATGGATTTTCGGTTTATTTACAGAACATTTCATCCAAGAACTACATTCCTTTCCTCAGCACGTGAATCATTCTCAAGGAAATACCATATATTAGATCATAAAGCAAGTCCTAAAACTTTCAAAACAATTGAAATATCATCAAAAAGTTGAAATATTATCTTCAATTATGTTGAAGATTATCAAGCACCTTTTCTGACCACAATGGAATAACCCTAGAAATTAATAACAAGGGGAATTTTGGAAACTGTATAAATACATGGAAATTAAACAATATGCTCCTGAATGACCAGTAGGTCAATGAAGAAATTAAAAAGGAAACAGAAAAATTTCTTGAAACAAATAGTATTGAAAACAATATACCCAAACCTATAAGCTACATTAAAAGCAGTACTCAGAGGAAAGTTTATAAGTGCCTACATCACATGAAAGGAAAAACTTATAATAAATAATCTATTGATGAATCTTAAAGAACTAGAAAATCAAGAGCAAACCAAACTCAAAACTAGTAAAAGATAAATAATAAAGATCAGAGCAGAAATATATGACACTGAAATAAAAAAAGCCATAAAAAGATCAGAGAAACGAAAAGTTGTTTTTTGCAAAAAAAAGAAAATTGTAAAAAAAAAATTTTGTAAAAAAAAACAAAATTGACAAACCTTTAGCCAGATTAACTAAGGAAAAAAGAGAGAAGATCCAAATAAATAAAATTAGAAATGAAAAAGGAGACATTACAACTGATACTGCAGAAATTCAAAGGATCATTTGTGGCTACTATGAGCAGCCATATGCCAATACATTGGAAAATCTAGAAGAAATGGTCAAATTCCTAGACACGTAAACTTCCAAGATTGAAAAAGGAAGAAATCCAAAACCTGAGTAGACCAATCACAAGTAATGAGATTGAAGCCACAATAAAAAGTCTTTCATTAAAGAAAAGCCCGGGGCCTGATGGCTTCACTGCTGAATTCTACCAAACGTTAAAGAACTAATATCAAGTCTCCTCAAACTACTCCAGAAAATAGAGGAGAGGTGAATACTTCCAAACTTATTCTACAAGGCCAGTATTACCCTGATACCAAAACCAGACAAAGACACATCAAATGTGTAGACAGGCCAATATCTCAACTTTTTTTTTTTTTTTTTGAAATGGAGTCTAGCTCTTGTCACCCAGGCTGGAGTGCAATGGAGTGATCTAGGCTCATGGCAACCTCCTCCTCCTAGGTGCAAGCAATTCTCCTGCCTCAGCCTCACAAGTAGCTGGGATTACAGGCATCTGCCACCATGCCTGGCTAATTCTTGTATTTTTAGTAGAGACAGGGTTTCACCATGTTGGCCAGGCTGGACTTACACTCCTGACCTCAGGTGATCCACCTGCCTCAGCCTCCTAAAGTGCTGGGATTATAGGTGTGAGCCATCTTGCCTGACCCTCTGATGAATATTGATACAAAAAGCCTCAACAAAATATTAGCAACCTGAATTTAACAATACATTAGAAAGATTATTCATTGCGAGCAAGTGGGATTTATCCCTGGGATGCATGGATGGTTCAACATACACAAACCAATTAATATGATACATTATATTATATCAGCAGAATTAAGAATAAAAACTAAATGATCATTTCAATTGATGCTGAAAAAGCATTTGATTAAATTCAACATTCGTTATTATTAAAAATAACTAAAAAAATGAGTATAGAAGGAATACAACTTAACATAATAAAAGCAAGCCATATATGACAGACCCACAAAGTCTATATAATACAGGTAGTATTATACTGAATGGGGAAAAACTGAAAGCATTTTATCTGCAATCTGGAGCATGACAAGGATATCCACTGTCACCGCTGTTATTCAATATAGTACTGGAAGTCCTAGCTAGAACAATCAGACAAGAGAGAGAAATAAAGGGAAGCAAATTAGAAAGAAAGAAGTCAAATTATCCTTGTTTGCTAATAATATGATCTATATTTGGAAAAAACCTAATGACTATACAAGAAACCTATTAAAACTTATAAACAAATTCAGTAAAGTTGCAGGATACAAAATCAGCTTACTGAAATCAGTAGCATTTTTATATGCCAACAGTGAACAATTTGAAAAAGAAATCAAAAAAGAAATCTTATTTACAATAGCCACACGTGAGGTTAAATACCTAGGAAATATCCAAAGAAGTGAAAGAGCTCTATAATGAAAACTATAAAACACTGATGAAAATTGATGAGGACACGAAAATATGAATAAAAAATTCCATGCTCATGAATTGGCAGAATCAATATTGTTAAAATGTTCATACCACTCAAAGCAATCTACAGTTTCAATGCAGTCCTTATCAAAATACCAATAACATTCTTCACAGAAATAGAAAAAACAATCCTAAAATCTACACAGAACCACAAAAGGCCCAGAATAGCCAAACACATCCTAAGCAAAAAGAACAAAACTGGAGGAATCACTTTACCTGACTTCAAGTTATACTACAGAGGTATAGTAACCATAGCAGCATGGTACTGACATAAAAAGAGACACATAGACCAGTGGAACAGAATACAGAACACAGAAACAAATCTACACAACTACAGAGAACTTATTTTAACAAAGGTGCCCAGAACATACACTGAGGAAAATACAGTCTTTTCAATAAATGGTGCTGGAAAAACTGGATATCCACATGCAAAAGAATGAAACTAGACCCCTATCTCTTGCCATGTGCAAAAATAAAGTCAAAATAGATTAAAGACTTACATCTAACAACTCAAACTATGCAACTATTACAAGAAAGCATTGGGGAAAACCTCCAAGACATTGTTTTGGGCAAAAATTTCTTGAAGCGACAACCCACAGAATGAGAGAAAATATTTACAAACTATCCTTCTGACAAGGGATTAATAATCAATATATAAAGAGCTCAAACAACTCCATAGGAAAAAATCTAATAATCTGATCCAAAAAAAGGCAAAATATTTGAATAAACATTTCTCAAAAGAAGACATACAAATGGCAAATCAGGCACATGAAAAGGTGCTCAACATCATTGATCATCAGAGAAATGCAAATAAAAACAACAATGAGATATTATCTCACCCCCATTTAAATGGCTTATATCGAAAAGACAGGCAATAACAAATGCTGGAGAAGATGTGGAGAAAAGGGAAAGTTGTACACTGTTGGCAGGAATGTAAATTAATATGACCACTATGGAGAACAGTTTGGAGGTTCCTCAAAAAAACTAAAAATTGAGCTACCATATGATCTAGCAATCCCACTACTGGGTATATACCCCAAAGAAAGGAATCAGTATATGGAAGAAATATCTGCACTCCTGTTTGTTGCAGCACTGTTTACAACAGCTAAGGTTTGGAAACACCCTAAGTGTCCGTCAACAGATCAATGGATAAAGGTAATGATGGTCCCATAAGGAAAGTATGTGAATATGGCTCTTGCAAAGGATTAACTATTGTAATTTTAGCTTATGCTCTGTATTCTGTTTTCTATGGAATTATTTAAGCCCTTTTAGTGACCTTTGTCCTGGCTCATTTAAAACTAAAATGTAGCATATATTGTATAAAATGGAAATATCATTATTGCTTCATTAGGGAAAACTGTACATTGGCATTGAAAGAAGGATAAAAGCAAGCAGTTTTATCAGGCAATTGTAAAACGCCAAAAACATAGATTTGTCTTTGATATGTAACACACTAAATGTATTTTGTATAGCATCTGGTTTAAAAGGTGCCTTACTAAGTTTACCATTGCTTGCTTTGTTCTATATACAGATTATATCCAATGTATCATATTGAAGTAAATAACCTTATTTTAGTAAAAAACAAAAACAAAAACAAAAACAAAAAAACAAGAAAGAAAATGTGGTACATACACCCAGTGTGGTACTAGTCAGCCATAAAAAAGAATGAGATCCCATCATTTGCAACAACATGAATGGCACTGGAGATCATTAGTTAAGTGAAATAAACCAGATACAGAAAGACAAACATCAAATGTTCTCACTTACTTGTGGAATCTAAAAATCAAATCAATTGATCTCATGGACATAGAGAGTAAAAGGATACTTACCAGAGGCTGAGAAATATGGTGGGGGGATGAGAGAGGAGGTGGGGATGGTTAATGGGTCCAAAAAAATTAGGAAGAATGAATAAGACCTACTATATGATAGCACAATAAGAACACTATAGTCAATAATAACTTAATTGTATATTTTTAAATAAAGAATGTAATTGGATTTTTTGTAATTCAAAAGATAAATGCCTGAGGGGATGGATACCCCGTTCTCCATGATGTGTTTACTTCACATTACATGCCTATACTAGAACATCTCATGTACCCCATAAATATTTATACCTACTATATACCCACAAAAATTAAAAAAATATTCAGTAGGAAAAGAATGAACTATTCAATGTATGATTCTAGGACAGCTGGTTATCCACATGGACATGGAATTAAATGAAGTTGGATCGCTTGCTCATAAAGTATTTAAATGTTAAGTCTGTGAAAATTAAAGACCTAAATCTAAGAGGCAAAATTTAAAGCTTTTAAAAGAGAATTAGGAGCATATTTTAGTAAAGTCAGAGAATAAAAGGATTTCTTAAATAAGTTACAGAGAGCACATACTGCAAAGGAAAAGACTGATAAATAATATTAGGATAAAGATTCATTATGAAAATTCTGTGGGAAACACACACACACGTGCATAAAGACACTATTAAAAGTGAAAAGGTAGGCCACAAACTGGAAGAAGATATTTGTAAGTTGTATAACAAAGGATTAATATAAGAATATATGTAAAACTTCTATAAACCAATTTTTTTAAAAGACAAGCAAAACAATTTTAAAAATGGCAAAACATACAAATAAGCAACTCACAGATGAGGAAACCCAAATGTCCAGAAAGTAGAATAAAATATGCCTAGCGTCATCAGAAAAATGCCAGTGTAAACCACATTTTCAAATATTTCATTTACATTAGACTGGCATAAATAACATAATCGTGATAACAAATTTTAGGCAATTATGTGGTACACATGAGGTCTTTATTTACAATTCAAAACTCAAAAACAATCTAATAACTGATTGTTTTTCATTATTCACTTTGCAGTAAGATCTAACTTGACTTAACCTTATTTGTAAGCAAAATCTGATCCTAACTGATGTTAAGATATTTATATTTTTAATCCTACTTGTGATTATTTGTACCTTTCATTGCAAAAATACTAACACTGTATTGGATGCTGCTGCAGTGCCTGTTAGATTGTTACATGATATATGGGGATAACTATCATATTACCTTCCTGAAACCTACACATTATAAATTCTAAAAAATAGCTGGTGCTAGAGTTCTGCACCAGAGATTGAAGGCTTGTTCAACAATTTGGCACCATTTAGGAAAGACTAATAAAAAGTGTGTATCTCTTGAAGCAATTCCATTCTTAGAAATTCTAGTATATGCTTGTTAAGATACATGGACAAGGATGTTCATAGCAGCACTGTTTATAACCACAAACAACTGGAGACAACCCACTGTTCATCACCAGGAGAATGCCCAAAAATATGTAAAAATTTTATACTGTTAAAAATGATCAAATGCTTGCCACAAATTGTCACATGAATGGGTTTTATAAATAAATACAAAAGAGAAAAAGCAAGTAGCAAATCAACATCTAATGTTTTATACCATTTATTTAAAGCTTAAAATATGCAAAATAATATTTAAAATCCTTATTTTTAAGGATACAAGCTATGATGGTTAATTTTGTGTGTCAAATTGACTAGATTATGGACACCAGTTGTTTGGTCAAACACAGTCTAGATGTTGTTATAAAGGTATTTTTAAGATATGATCAACATTTATAATCAATTGACTTTAAATAAACCAGATTTCCCTAAATAATGTGGCTGTGTCTTTTCTAGTCATTTGAGACCTTAAGAGCAAAGACTTAGGTTTCCCAAAGAGAAAGGATTTCTGCCTCCAGGCTGCAACATAGAAATTCTGTCTGAGTTTTCAGCCTTTAGACTCAAGGCTGAAATATCAACTTTTATCTGAATCCCCAGCCTGTCAGCCTAACCTATGTATTCTGGACTTGCTAGCTCCCATAATCATGCAAGACAATTCCTCATTTCCTTAAAATCTCTCTTTCTTTTCATGTATGTGTGTGTGTGTGTGTGTGTGTATATGTGTGTGTGTGTGTATATATATATAAAACAAATAGGGGACACATGTATATAACCAATAGGGGACTGTGTGTGTGTGTATATATATATATGTATCTCCTATTGGTTCTGTTTTTATCTATGAACTCGAATGCAAATGTACATGTAATAAAATTAGAAAGAGATTTATGGAAATGATAAGAAACAAGATCATGATTTCATGTTAGGAAAGGAGGTACATATGTTCTGGAAGGGATACACTATGGGTTTAAAATCTAATGGTAATTTATTTCTTAAGCCATGTGGTAACATTATAGTATTCATTCTTCCTATCTGTGTGTCTAAGCATTTTATTACAAATTTTTAAAAAATTTAAAAGATAAGGCCAACAAAAGATATTTGAAGATAATAATTATGGGAAAGAAAACTTAATTGTGTATCTGAAGTAAAAATTTCCCAAGTGAATTTTAAGAATATTGACTTATAGTAGAGACTTAATGAAAGCATTTAATACCAAGAGTTTATAACCTAGATTTTTCAAATTATTTATATTACCATGATAAGGAAAGGTGACTCAGTAAGATAATTTTCTGATGCTTGTTCTGTCACTTATATTTACTCAGATAATGATAGTAATATTAATACAGCAGCCTAAACTCCTAATGGCCAACAACCTGTAGTTCTGCTCGTCCAACAGTGCTCAAAAGATCAAAGTAGTGCTTTGCTGGTGTGGCTAAAATCTAGACTAGCTTTAGCCAAATAGCGAGCCAGAACTAGTGCTATTACCTTTTTAACTCTTGATTATCTGGTTGATGTCAATGCCAATCTCTATAAACTTCTGAAAGGTACGGAGTCTTCGAATATCTATCTGGTTGTTTAGAGAATACTCAGTACATGAAAAGGATTCGTAATGAAGATTAAAGTTGATAGTTCACAATTTTTTTTATATTTGTCATATCTTTCCACTGTCTCTTTCACTCTCTAGGAAAAGATTGAATGGAAATTAATACAAGTGGGATGAAAGAATGGCATCTGTTTACATTTGGATAGCCACATCAGAATTTGCTTGAATAATATTTCTAGGGTTAAAAAAAGTTTATAAATTATTCCTTTAGGTTCTCAATTACTTATTCTCAAATGGAAGTATGTGCTTTTCTGTTGAACATTCCCGAATGTTGAGTTTATCTATGATAAATTTTTATATTTGAGGTTTCATTTTGACGCTAAACTTAAAATATTAATATGAGTATATATTTATCAAACACTGTATATCCAAGTACTACACCACAATTTTTCTGCCCATATTTGGGATTGCTTTTAAAAAGTAATCATCACCACATGAAATATTGTCACCACATGAAAGGTGCATGAGCTCACAGCACACCATAAAAATCAAATATTTTACAGGTAGTCTGAAGAGAGAAAAATGTGGTAGGAAGATTGTGTTTTAATGCAAGACAGAATCACATCAATACTGCAAACTGAAAAGTTAAATCTATACTAGAGAAAAACGTCCTCTTTTTTGCAGGTGGTGGAAATGTTAACATGAAACAAAAACATTTTGTTTTCCAAATTGCGTAAGTAATCAAAATTGATGTATTTTTAATGCACATTTTAATAATGTAGCAGTGCTAACTTTACTTTCATGTGAACAAGTTTAAAGATTTATCAATTGCTATTACATTTAAATTAGCACCTGCAGCTCACTGGTAAATTCTGATTAAGGATGTGTGCTGATTGAAGTCATTGCTATCACCACATTAGTATTATTAAAGTCAAAATGCAGTTATTGCTTAAGCACGGAACTGAACCTGAGGTACTATTTCCCTACCATTAAAACCAACATCAGCTATTAACTTTCAACCGGACAAGAACAACCATTACAATATATTGATGTTGGTTTTAATTTTATTAGCCTTGTAATCTTCTTTATAATTTGATGAGACCTATGTGTCCATGCATTAAATTAAGCACACATAGTTTTAAGATTGCGTCAACTGAACTGTATTCTTTATTTTTTTTTTATTATACTTTAAGTTTTAGGGTACATGTGCACATAGTGCAGGTTAGTTACATATGTATACATGTGCCATGCTGGTGCGCTGCACCCATTAACTCGTCATCTAGCATTAGGTATATCTCCCGATGCTATCCCTCCCCCCTCCCCCCACCCCACAACAGTCCCCAGAGCGTGATATTCCCCTTCCTGTGTCCATGTGATCTCATTGTTCAGTTCCCACCTATGAGTGAGAATATGCGGTGTTTGGTTTTTTGTTCTTGCGATAGTTTACTGAGAATGATTATTTCCAATTTCATCCATGTCCCTACAAAGGACATGAACTCATCATTTTTTATGGCTGCATAGTATTCCATGGTGTATATGTGCCACATTTTCTTAATCCACTCTATCATTGTTGGACATTTGGGTTGGTTCCAAGTCTTTGCTATTGTGAATAATGCCGCAATAAACATACGTGTGCATGTGTCTTTATAGCAGCATGATTTATAGTCCTTTGGGTATATACCCAGTAATGGGATGGCTGGGTCAAATGGTATTTCTAGTTCTAGATCCCTGAGGAATCGCCACACTGACTTCCACAATGGTTGAACTGGTTTACAGTCCCACCAACAGTGTAAAAGTGTTCCTATTTCTCCACATCCTCTCCAGCACCTGTTGTTTCCTGACTTTTTAATGATTGCCATTCTAACTGGTGTGAGATGGTATCTCATTGTGGTTTTGATTTGCATTTCTCTGATGGCCAGTGATGATGAGTATTTTTTCATGTGTTTTTTGGCTGCATAAATGTCTTCTTTTGAGAAGTGTCTGTTCATGTCCTTCACCCACTTTTTGATGGGGTTGTTTGTTTTTTTCTTGTAAATTTGTTTGAGTTCATTGTAGATTCTGGATATTAGCCCTTTGTCAGATGAGTAGGTTGCGAAAATTTTCTCCCATTTTGTAGGTTGCCTGTTCACTCATATGGTAGTTTCTTTTGCTGTGCAGAAGCTCTTTAGTTTAATTAGATCCCATTTGTCAATTTTGGCTTTTGTTGCCATTGCTTTCGGTGTTTTAGACATGAAGTCCTTGCCCATGCCTATGTCCTAAATGGTAATGCCTAGGTTTTCTTCTAGGGTTTTTATGGTTTTAGGTCTAATGTTTAAGTCTTTAATCCATCTTGAATTGATTTTTGTATAAAGTGTAAGGAGGGGATCCAGTTTCAGCTTTCTACATATGGCTAGCCAGTTTTCCCAGCACCATTTATTAAATAGGGAATCCTTTCCCCATTGCTTGTTTTTCTCAGGTTTGTCAAAGATCAGATAGTTGTAGATATGCGGCGTTATTTCTGAGGGCTCTGTTCTGTTCCATTGATGTATATCTCTGTTTTGGTACCAGTACCATGCTGTTTTGGTTACTGTAGCCTTGTAGTATAGTTTGAAGTCAGGTAGTGTGATGCCTCCAGCTTTGTTCTTTTGGCTTACGATTGACTTGGAGATGCGGGCTCTTTTTTGGTTCCATATGAACTTTAAAGTAGTTTTTTCCAATTCTGTGAAGAAAGTCATTGGTAGCTTGATGGGGATGGCATTGAATCTGTAAATTACCTTGGGCAGTATGGCCATTTTCACGATATTGATTCTTCCTACCCATGAGCATGGAATGTTCTTCCATTTGTTTGTATCCTCTTTTATTTCCTTGAGCAGTGGTCTGTAGTTCTCCTTGAAGAGGTCCTTCACATCCCTTGTAAGTTGGATTCCTAGGTATTTTATTCTCTTTGAAGCAGTTGTGAATGGGAGTTCACTCTTGATTTGGCTCTCTGTTTGTCTGTTATTGGTGTATAAGAATGCTTGTGATTTTTGTACATTGATTTTGTATCCTGAGACTTTGCTGAAGTTGCTTATCAGCTTAAGGAGCTTTTGGGCTGAGACAATGGGGTTTTCTAGATATACAATCATGTTGTCTGCAAACAGTGACAATTTGACTTCCTCTTTTCCTAATTGAATACCCTTTATTTCCTTCTCCTGCCTAATTGCCCTGGCCAGAACTTCCAACACTATGTTGAATAGGAGTGGTGAGAGAGGGCATCCCTGTCTTGTGCCAGTTTTCAAAGGGAATGCTTCCAGTTTTTGCCCATTCAGTATGATATTGGCTGTGGGTTTGTCATAGATAGCTCTTATTATTTTGAAATACGTCCCATCAATACCTAATTTATTGAGAGTTTTTAGCATGAATGGTTGTTGAATTTTGTCAAAGGCTTTTTCTGCATCTATTGAGATACTCATGTGGTTTTTGTCTTTGGTTCTGTTTATATGCTGGATTACATTTATTGATTTGTGTATATTGAACCAGCCTTGCATCCCAGGGATGAAGCCCACTTGATCATGGTGGATAAGCTTTTTGATGTGCTGCTGGATTCGGTTTGCCAGTATTTTATTGAGGATTTTTGCATCAATGTTCATCAAGGATATTGGTCTAAAATTCTATTTTTTTGTTGTGTCTCTGCCTGGCTTTGGTATCAGAATAATGCTGGCCTCATAAAATGAGTTAGGGAGGATTCCCTCTTTTTCTATTGATTGGAATAGTTTCAGAAGGAATGGTACCAGTTCCTCCTTGTACCTCTGGTAGAATTCGGCTGTGAATCCATCTGGTCCTGGACTCTTTTTGGTTGGTAAGCTATTGATTATTGCCACAATTTCAGCTCCTGTTATTGGTCTATTCAGAGATTGAACTTCTTCCTGGTTTAGTCTTGGGAGAGTGTATGTGTTCAGGAATTTATGCATTTCTTCTAGATTTTCTAGTTTATTTGCGTAGAGGTGTTTGTAGTATTCCCTGATGGTAGTTTGTATTTCTGTGGGATCGGTGGTGATATCCCCTTTATCATTTTTTATTGTGTCTATTTGATTCTTCTCTCTTTTTTTCTTTATTAGTCTTGCTAGCAGTCTATCAATTTTGTTGATCCTTTCAAAAAACCAGCTCCTGGATTCATTAATTTTTTGAAGGGTTTTTTGTGTCTCTATTTCCTTCAGTTCTGCTCTGATTTTAGTTATTTCTTGCCTTCTGCTAGCTTTTGAATGTGTTTGCTCTTGCTTTTCTAGTTCTTTTAATTGTGATGTTAGGGTGTCAATTTTGGATCTTTCCTGCTTTCTCCTGTGGGCATTTAGTGCTATAAATTTCCCTCTACACACTGCTTTGAATGTGTCCCAGAGATTCTGGTATGTTGTGTCTTTGTTCTCGTTGGTTTCAAAGAACATCTTTATTTCTGCCTTCATTTCGTTATGTACCCAGTAGTCATTCAGGAGCAGGTTGTTCAGTTTCCATGTAGTTGAGCGGTTTTGAGTGAGATTCTTAATCCTGAGTTCTAGTTTGATTGCACTGTGGTCTGTGAGATAGTTTGTTATAATTTCTGTTCTTTTACATTTGCTGAGGAGAGCTTTACTTCCCAGTATGTGGTCAATTTTGGAATAGGTGTGTTGTGGTGCTGAAAAAAATGTATATTCTGTTGATTTGGGGTGGAGAGTTCTGTAGATGTCTATTAGGTCCGCTTGGTGCAGAGCTGAGTTCAATTCCTGGGTATCCTTGTTGACTTTCTGTCTCGTTGATCTGTCTAATGTTGACAGTGTGGTGTTAAAGTCTCCCATTATTAATGTGTGGGAGTCTAAGTCTCTTTGTAGGTCACTCAGGACTTGCTTTATGAATCTGGGTGCTCCTGTCTTGGGTGCATATAGATTTAGGATAGTTAGCTCTTCTTGTTGAATTGATCCCTTTACCATTATGTAATGGCCTTCTTTGTCTCTTTTGATCTTTGTTGATTTAAAGACTGTTTTATCAGAGACTAGGATTGCAACCCCTGCCTTTTTTTGTTTTCCATTTGCTTGGTAGATCTTCCTCCATCCTTTTATTTTGAGCCTATGTGTGTCTCTGCATGTGAGATGGGTTTCCTGAATACAGCACACTGATGGGTCTTGACTCTTTATCCAATTTGCCAGTCTGTGTCTTTTAATTGGAGCATTTAGTGCATTTACATTTAAAGTTAATACTGTTATGTTTGAATTTGATCCTGTCATTATGATGTTAGCTGGTGATTTTGCTCGTTAGTTGATGCAGTTTCTTCCTAGTCTCGATGGTCTTTACATTTTGGCATAATTTTGCAGCGGCTGGTACTGTATGTTCCTTTCCATGTTTAGCGCTTCCTTCAGGAGCTCTTGTAAGGCAGGCCTGGTGGTGACAAAATCTCTCAGCATTTGCTTGTCTGTAAAGTATTTTATTTCTCCTTCACTTATGAAGCTTAGTTTGGCTGGATATGAAATTCTGGGTTGAAAATTCTTTTCTTTAAGAATGTTGAATATTGGCCCCCACTCTCTTCTGGCTTGTAGGGTTTCTGCCGAGAGATCCGCTGTTAGTCTGATGGGCTTCCCTTTGAGGGTAACTCGACCTTTCTCTCTGGCTGCCCTTAACATTTTTTCCTTCATTTCAACTTTGGTAAATCTGACAATTATGTGTCTTGGAGTTGCTCTTCTCGAGGAGTATCTTTGTGGCATTCTCTGTATTTCCTGAATCTGAACGTTGGCCTGCCTTGCTAGATTGGGGAAGTTCTCCTGGATAATATCCGGCAGAGTGTTTTCCAACTTGGTTCCATTCTCCCCATCACTTCCAGGTACACCAATCAGATGTAGATTTGGTCTTTTCACATAGTCCCATATTTCTTGGAGGCTTTGCTCATTTCTTTTTATTCTTTTTTCTCTAAACTTCCCTTCTCACTTCATTTCATTCATTTCATCTTCCATCGCTGATACCCTTTCTTCCAGTTGATCGCGTCGGCTCCTGAGGCTTCTGCATTCTTCATGTAGTTCTTGAGCCTTGGTTTTCAGCTCCATCAGCTCCTTTAAGCACTTCTCTGTATTGGTTATTCTAGTTATACATTCTTCTAAATTTTTTTCAAGTTTTCAACTTCTTTGCCTTTGGTTTGAATGTCCTCCCATAGCTCAGAGTAATTTGATCGTCTGAAGCCTTCTTCTCTCAGCTCGTCAAAGTCATTGTCCGTCCAGCTTTGTTCCGTTGCTGGTGAGGAACTGCGTTCCTTTGGAGGAGGAGAGGCACTCTGCTTTTTAGAGTTTCCAGTTTTTCTGTTCTGTTTTTTCCCCATCTTTGTGGTTTTATCTACTTTTGGTCTTTGATGATGGTGATGTACAGATGGGTTTTTGGTGTGGATGTCCTTTCTGTTTGTTAGTTTTCCTTCTAACAGAGAGGACCCTCAGCTGCAGGTCTGTTGGAGTACCTGGCTGTGTGAGGTGTCAGTGTGCCCCTGCTGGGGGGTGCCTCCGAGTTAGGCTGCTCGGGGGTCAGGGGTCAGGGACCCACTTGAGGAGGCAGTCTGCCCGTTCTCAGATCTCCAGCTGCGTGCTGGGAGAACCACTGCTCTCTTCAAAGCTGTCAGACAGGGACATTTAAGTCTGCAGAGGTTACTGCTGTCTTTTTGTTTGTCTGTGCCCTGCCCTCAGAGGTGGAGCCTACAGAGGCAGGCAGGCCTCCTTGAGCTGTGGTGGGCTCCACCCAGTTCGAGCTTCCAGGCTGCTTTGTTTACCTAATCAAGCCTGGGCAATAGCGGGCACCCCTCCCCCAGCCTCGCTGCCTCCTTGCAGTTTGATCTCAGACTGCTGTGCTAGCAATCAGCGAGACTCGGTGGGCGTAGGACCCTCCGAGCCAGGTGCGAGGTATAATCTCGTGGTGCGCCGTTTTTTAAGCCGGTAGGCAAAGTGCAGTATTCGGGTGGGAGTGACCCGATTTTCCAGGTGCGTCGGTCACCCCTTTCTTTGACTCAGAAAGGGAACTCCCTGACCCCTTGCGCTTCCCAAGTGAGGCAATGCCTCGCCCTGCTTCGGCTGGCGCACGGTGCGGGCACCCACTGACCTGCGCCCACTGTCTGGCACTCCCTAGTGAGATTAACCCCGTACCTCAGATGGAAATGCAGAAATCACCCGTCTTCTGCGTTGCTCACGCTGGGAGCTGTAGACCGGAGCTATTCCTATTCGGCCATCTTGGCTCCTCCCCGCCAACTGAACTGTATTCTAATGTGCACAGAGTTAAAGTCATAATACTATTTACACACAATGGACAAGTTTATGACTGTCACTGAATATAAAATATTTAATATCTACAATGTGTGGCACTGAACCAGGTGACTTAAATTCTGTGCCCAACACGTCAATAATTTTTTCTGCTTCTACTTTTCTTGATACTCCCTTAACATTGATACTCTTAGTTTTCCAGTTAGTCACTAGATCATGGTCTAGAATTCCATTCAAGAAGAAAGGAATGCTGGCTTTAGAAAAGATGGTTAATCATTTTTCACTTCAGAGAGTTTAACTGACTTTTTTCAGAGGCAGACTTCTTCAGCAAATGTATTTATCAATAATGCTGGACTATATTTACA
Organism: Homo sapiens; assembly: GCF_000001405.40. NCBI lineage: Eukaryota > Metazoa > Chordata > Mammalia > Primates > Hominidae > Homo > Homo sapiens. The sequence goes on along the minus strand of NC_000003.12, from coordinate 110,439,704 downwards.
TACTACTTACAGTTTGCAAAGCACGTACACATGGTTTTGAATGTCTACACGCACTGACTCCATTCTAAGAAGGACTCCAGAATACCCCAACCTAGATTCACACTCCTCATAAGTACCCCATAGGACTAGTACCCCAACGTCTAGCTTGTAGCACCCGTATGCCTTTCAGTGACTTTTGATGAATGTTGTGTCCGAACCAAAAATCTGTAAGCCTCTTCAGTTTAGGTACCATGCCATATTAGTCTTTGAGTTCCCAGGGTTTAATGTAACACTCAGAGTTTTTTAAAAAAATGTTTAATAAATATTTAGGGAACAAATTAAATGGCCAAATCTACTAAACTCTGTGAGAATTTCATAATCTTAAATGTATTGGCAGGGTTCCAATTACACTAAACATTTTAAATAATCCCACTGGCTATATGGATTGATAAATTATCCTTTATAGTAGAACTACATGTACTAACAAATTTTATTACATTTTTATTTTCCCTGGAAATGACATTAACCCCAAATTGTTTGTATCAGAAAGATAGACAGATGAAAAATGATAGACATATGATTAGGTAGATGATAGATACCATGCAACGTTAATATTTTTGATTATTCAAGTCAATCCAATAAATATTTGCTGAACACTTACATTGTATACTATGCTCTGTATGAGAAGCTATCAGCATGACAAAAACGCATATAGTATGTCCTTACAGGCAGCTTAAAATTCAATGGAGAAATGTACAGTACAGTATGGCATAATGAAAAACAGAGTAAAGGTTAAGCAAAATGTAATAGGAAAAACTTGGAGACAGAGAATAACCTCAATTGAGTGGTAAATGGGAATGGTAGTAAGGAATGTTTTCACAGAGGGGTGCCTTAAAAAATGTTTTTGCATTAGTATAAAATAACTTTACATCAATTAATATAAGATATTTTACATTGCATAAAATGATTTTTTATAAACACAAAATTTTACCACAATAAAAATAATATTAACCTGAGCTATGACTTGATAGAAAACATTGTTTATGTTGTTCTTTTCAATTGTAATAGTCTTTAGTTTGCACAATGTTTGAATGTGTTTCTGCACTTTGGAATGCACATTTGGAATAGAGACACATTTAACGTTGGTTGTATAGGCGAGGTACATGCTGAAGCTTGTAGTTATTTTTCAAGTGAGAATAGACTGAAAAATTTCTCTCGAAGTCTCAGAAAAAAGATTTAGGTTTTGGATTTCAGAGTCATAGGCTACTGATCTAACTATAACATGTTCAAAAAACAGATTTTACCCTTGTTTTCATCCAAAAGTTAATCAGGACTACAAATTATAAACATTATCTTAAGCAAACAAAAGGTAATCCTTCTCAATGATTAAAATAGCTTTGTAAAAATATGTAAACACAGTATGTAATCATTATATAAGAGTCAGACAATATGGAAAGGAAATGAAAACTACACATAATTCCACTGCCGGGAGATAGTAATTGCTAACATTTCACTGAATAGACTTCAAGCCATTTCTTCTATAGAAGTATAAGTCACAGTGAGATTGACTCACACTGAGGCACATACACAGATACAAATAGAATACAATTATACACACTGCTCTGTTAAATGACTTTTTCACTTGGAACATATAATGGTCACCTTTTAGAGTCAAATTTCTCAACAGAGCATTTTTGTCTTAATATATTTTAATTTAGCAGTCATTTCCTTGATAATTTATAGCTTTTGAGAAACCTTAAAAAAAATTTCCTGCTACAATATTGCAGAAATAATCAATTAAATTATCCCTCAGTAGTTATGTACATATATTTTTCTATCTAATTAGTTAACTCCATCTGGAGATTTATAACAGTTCAACTTTTGTTAAATTTTTGCCCCAATATTTGTCACAAAATAATATACTGAGTAACCACTTTCTCAAAATACTAAATGGTAAAACATTAATTAACTAATAATTAATAATAAATCAATGACAGATATCAATAAATTAATGAATAATACATTTTAATAAATATTATATTATATTTTATATTATTATACATTCCCTATTTTATTTTCTTGGTATGTTTGTTTCTTTAACAGTATCATGACATTTTATGTACTGCAAATTTATAATGAATCTTGCAATGATTTGAATTTTTCAGCCTTTTATTAACTTTTATTAAAAGGTTATACTTTTAGGTAATCTTAGGATTATTTTGAGGAAAAGGATTTCAATAATAATTTGTAAATAACTGATAATTTTTAAATTCTATTGTTATTAAGTTGAATTTTTTTTCAGAATATATTTGCACCTATTGAAATGGCCTTCAACTTGTTAGTGTTAACACACTAATACTTGTTAATATGAAAAACTGTAAACAGATTTTTTGAATTTTGAACTATACATTCAAGAAAAAAGCTCTATTGAGTCATGGTATATTGTTATTTTTAATGTCACGATGTGTTCTGCTTACATTTTTCTTAGGATTTTTTCCTCTTACATTCATAAATGAGATTGTTTTGCATTTCTTTTCCTTTATTATGAGGTTGGTTAGTGCTGTCTTGGTAAAAAGAATTGGGAAGTTCTTTATATTTGACTTCATACTTTCAAACTCACCATTATTTTTTAATCTTTCTTCAGACTTCGCATAGGTTCAATCTCAACCTTAAGGTATTCTAACACAATAAAATGTAGCAGTGTACTGGATCGAGTTGATTGGCTTATCCAGTTCCAAACTTTATGTAGTGTAGCTTGTTTTGCTGCAGAGGCTAGAAAGCTAAAAATGAAATAGGCCAGATCCTCCTTGAAGATAGAAACAATAAAGCTTTCATTTCATCCTTTTAGAAAGAGGCTTTCAGAAAAAGGAAATTAATTTGTATTATTTTCATTGGAGTTTATATTTTTGTAAAAGTTACATTACATAAGCTGAAAAAAATAAATCTGGGGTTTAAGTAGTGTTTAATGTAATCACCATTGTGTTGTAGTGTTCTAAATGCTGCCTTTCTTTTTTTTTTTTTTTTTTGCAGAATATTTTCATTTATATGAGATCCAGACTGAATGAGAAAATGTGGTTCAAACTGTGAGAGAAGTTTTAAAATTTAAATAGTGTCACATGGCAATAATGAAAGTTAAAAGTGTACTTCTGTAGGGCTTTAAACATGACCAGCCTCAGGGGTTTATAGCTCTTTCCAAAACATCATTTCTGAAGCACAAAGATACAATGCAATTAAAAAGAAAAGTGCACATTTTGCAGGCAGACCTGGATATGAATCCCAGTTTTGCCACTTACGGACTTTGTAACCTTTAGCATATTGCTTAATCTTTCTCAAACACAGTTCTCTATCTATATATACAAAAAGCGGAATATCTAACCATGAGGTTACTATACAGATAAAAGCAGAGAATATACATGAAATCACCATTATCAGCATCCGGTGCACAGTGTACCTTCAATAAATAGAATTGTTCCCTCACAATTTGGTTTTAAAATCTCAAATTCTACCTACTCAGAGACAGATTTAAATCATGTTTTTTCTTTGGGTTTGATACACTACATTCCCTTATTAAATTATTATATACTTGCAATTATTTACATATATGAAGGAATATATTTGTCAGATCTTTCCCCAAAAATACCTTTACAGGTGGAGGGGAACATTGAGGGAAACAATATATTAGAAGAGAGCCTGATTACTGTTATGGGAGAGAGTTGGGAGGGAATAGGTTTATTGAGATATTAAAAATAGGTATAAGAAGAGCTAAGAGTCCAGGAAGAGAAACTTGGGCAAGAAGAAGTTAAATGTTGCCTACTTCATACCGTTCCCTAAGCACAAGGCTGATGAAAAGTAACTGATTTTTGGAAGTGAATCCTTCCTTTGACCATTACAGTCAGTAGAGAATAGAATAGACTAGGAAGATCAAAATGTTTTCCAAATACTCCAAGTGAAGGAAAGGGCTGAACACTTAGTAGATTATCAATAAAACACATTGAATAAATTATTATTCAAATCATTATGAGCCAAGAGAATAAAAATGTGTGTTTTCATAATTTTTCTAAGAACTCTTTATAACGATATTTTTTGCAGTAGGAAAATATAATCGAATAAGTTTTCAAAAAATGAGGAATATAGGAGCAAATTTACTTGCCTAGAGTGAGGAAGGAAGTTGATAATGAAGGGAGAATGAACATCTATTAATACGTCTTTGTATTGCACTTTACCTATGGCTCTTGAAAAATAACCTTAAAAACTGGAGTTCAAAAGGTGAAAATTTTCAAGTGGTTTCATTGAAAGATACTGACTTAAAATAATCATCAAGTCCATTTAAAATATATCTTTTTTTTAATAGCACAATGAAACATTATTTTATTACTGACAAGGCTATATGGGAACAACTGTCCTGAAAATAAAATGCCAACAGTTAACTACCACTTACAGACTTACAGTTAAAAGCTCCATCTGCTAGCTTTTCTCTAAACTATATCTTGATTCTATCTCCTTAAATTATAAAAATGTATCTGTAAAACCTTGTTATAATCATCATCATTGACTGCTCTCAGAGTGGGGAGTAAACTGCTAAGCTACTGCTTAGCTATCATCTAGAAGTTTTGACATAAAAGTATAGCATATCAAACTGTGAAGATAATTAGAGATTTTTTTTATCCCAGTGACTTTATTTCATAGATAAGGAAACTGAAACCCAGAGGCATTAGTTAACCAGGCATTAGTTAAGGACATACAACTTGCATGTAGCATAGCCAAGACTCATCCATAGATATTCTGACTCGCAGACCCCCATCTTTTCCATAATCCTCTGTCACTTTGTATATAAATAATTAACAATATTTTGGGGAACTCCAGGTGAGAAACTTCGAAATCAAATTATGAGAAAAAGAAATCAGCATTTAATTGTTTGTATTGACAAATTACACACACACATACACATATATTTTTATGTATTTGCATACATACACACATGTGATTGTAGTGGAATAAGGAGCTCTGAAGTCTGAATGCATTCTTTTAAGTAGCTAGGTACATTGAGCAGGATATTTAACTTCATTATTCAATTTCTTCATTGGTTAAAAGGGAATGTAATTGTCATCCTGCTTCTTTTTAGTGAAGATCACAGGGGATAATACACATGAATATTTCTTGTAACTTCTAAATTGTTAAGCAAATGTGAAGGATTGTTAGGTCTTCACACATGGTGATACTATAGTAGTGAGTGGAATGAAGTATATCTTGCATTTCTAACTGTGGTGTGGAATGAGACTTTCTTTAGGCTCATTTTCCTCTGCTTGCTGGAGAAATAAGTTGCCTGTTTTATTAATCAAAGTAACCAATTCCAGCAGCTGCAATTAAAAAGGGCTTCAAAAATTGCAATGGCTTGGCAGAAAACCTTACTTCTTCTTGAAAACTGTGATGCTGATTTTTGGGAAACATTTGGACTTAGAAAACAGGATTCACCCAGCTGTGACAACCATCTCAAGACACGGCTTCCAAGCCAGAAAGAGAGATGAAAGAGGCAAGTCGTCTCCTAACTGCCTTGGCCCAGAAGTAGTACTCATAGTTCTGCACAATTCATTTGCCAGAACTAGTCCCATGACCCCAACTTAATGGCAAAGGAAGCTAGGACATGTAGGAGAGTACTTGGAGAATTTGTTGAGCATTGTTCGTCTATGGCATATCTATGGGCCATATTAGGGTATCAGTCTCTTCACTCACTTTTCGTGTCAAAACTTCATGAGATAGATCCCTGCGTCCCAGGCCCTACAAAAGTAAGGGATAAATGGATAAAATCACAAAATAATCATAGTCAGGGAAATTCAAACAGAAAAATATTCCAAACACTGGATTCTGTGACTTTAGCCACAAACAAGGAATGTATGCTTATTTTTTCATTGTTTAAATGTATGTATGTATGTATATGTATATATATGATGTGCATATGTTTTAATATATATTTTCATTTATACATATCATAAACATATTTTTTCATTTATATATCATATATCATATATATCATATACTACACAATGTATGCATATATGATATATTGTATTATATATAATATATATCATTAATATATAATATATGTCATTATTATATATTATCTCATATATAATATTATATCATATATAATAACATTAATATATAATATATCATATATATCTAATATCATATGTAATATAATATATAATGTGTTATTATGTCATTTAATTTCATTTATATATTATATCATATATACACACCATATATATGAGGTATTATAGATATTATCTGATACGGTATAATATATAATGTTTATGATATATGATAAATGATATGACTATGTATAGATGATATATATTATATATTAATATGTTAATCAAATAGTAATGATATTAATGAATTTTTCATTAATATGTGTACTGAATAATGTATAATGTATAATATGTATATTATACATATTCATTAAAAATATGTATTAAATGCCTCTACAAGCTCTCTACAACCTCGAAAAGATCCCCTGGTCTGTGAATTCTTGCCCTCTGACCTCACCTCACACCATAATCCCTTGAGCTTGTTATACTCCAGCAACTTTGGACTACTCTGGATTCCTCAGTTATAGAAAGCTTATTTCTGTCTCTGGGACTCTATACTTTCTAATCATTCTGCTTTGAATGTCCTTCACACAGATCTTTGCTTGGTTGCTCTTTCTCATTCTCTCAATTTTGGCCCAAATGTTGGCCTCATAATTTCCTTTCTTAAATTGCTATTATACCTTACATAATGTTACTTTTTAAATAATTGAAAAAATTTGTTTAAATTAATGTATTTCCTGCCTTTTGCGATTATTTGTATCTCTTAAAATTACCCAATTTATTGTCAGCTTTGTTAAAATAGGGACTATATTAACCTTTTTAAAATTTTTCCATAATGCCCAGCACATGATAAAATGTCATAATTAGTTGTTGCACTGAACTTGTCAGCTAAAAGACTATTTAATAATGTAGGCATTTGGTTCTGACCTTGTGATAAAAAGGACATGAGAACGTGCACCCAATTAGGTGAAGCAGAAAAGGGAACTTGATAGTTTTAAATGAAGCAGCATTGCTCCTATTTGTTGGTCAGTTTTCCTGGCCTGTTCTCCTTTTCAAATTGTTGGATAAGCAGGAGGCCATTATCCCAAGTGAATTAATGCAAGAACAGATAACCAAATGCTACATTCTCTCACTTATAAGCAGGAGCTAAACATTGGGTAAACATGGACATAAAGATGGCAACAATAGACATTCGGGACTTCTAGAGGGGAGAGGGAAGGAGGGGGGCATGGGTTGAAAAACTACCTATCAGGTACTATGCTCACTACTTGGGTGATGGGATAATTAATACACCAAACCCCAGTGACATGCTCGTTTACGTGTGTAACATACCTGGTCACTGGAGAGACCAAGGAAGATAAGCAAGGGTATGAATGCCTTTTTAGAAAGGAGAACTTGTGCCTTCTCTGAAAATATCTAGTGAATGTGCGTACTTGTGTAAGAAAATGATTCTAACATGGAGTTTCATAGAAACAATGTCTTGGTAGAGAAAAGTTAAAAGTCAATCACAATATAGAGAAATACATATATAAAGTATAAAATTTTAAAAATTAATCAAGTTATTGGTACCTGTGGATTATCAATTCATTAATTAATCCAGCATAGACTTGTACATTTATTATCTTAAAAATCCCATTGAGAATTGTGAATGCTTCCTTAATCTGTCTTCATGTAACCTATTCTGTGTAATCACAGCTCTATTCTATGTCTATATGCACAGTAAATTCTACCAGGTTATAGGCTAATTTCTGGAGTGTCAATGTACTTGAGTTGCATTTTACCAAGAATTGGTTCTAAACCTGTTCCATTAATAATTGTATATACAGATTAAAAATGACTGCAAAAAGAGTGCTGGTTTCCATGAAAACTTCTTAAATGCTTGGGACAGTTTAAGTAAGCTGACTTGCTTAAACGTTGCTATCAAATAAGGTACAGAAAAATAACTGTGTAAGATTGGTGAAAAATGGAAAATTACCATTTGAAAACAGTGTAATGAGTAGATGTATGCAGCCCCATGTTAACTGAGCACTATTCACGACAGCCAAGTTATGGAATCAACCTAGGTGTCTACCAACAGATGAATGAATAAATAAAATGTGGTATATGTACACAATGGAATGCTATTAAATAGCCTTAAAAAAAGAAAGAAGCCTTGTCATTTGGGAAAACATGGATGGAATTGAAGAACATTATACTAAGTGAAATAAGCCTGGCACAGAAATGACAAACACCTTGTGTTCTCCCTTATACATAGAATCTAAAACAAGCCCATAGAAACAGGGAGTCAAGTGGTGATTACCAGAGGTTAGAGGGTAGTGAGAATGAGGAGATGATGGTCGAAAGGTACAAAGCCTCAGTTAGACAGAAGGATTAGATATTTTTTGAGATCTATTGTACATCATGGTGAATATAGTTAATAATAGTGTATAGCGCATTAAAAATTACCAGAGAACACATTTCAAATGTTCTCACCCTCCCAAATACTAAGCATTCGAGGTGATGAGCATGTTAATTAGCTTAATTTAATTATTCCACATTGCATTCATAAATCAAAACATCACTTTGTACCTTACAAATATATCCAACTACAATATTTTCATTTATAATATAATTAATTAATTAAAAAACCCTAGTTGGATTCTGTAATCACACTGCAAAAATAAAAAGTCAGAACTCCAATTAGCAAATATAAATTCAAACATATGGATCCTAGTTCAAAGGTTGTAATGACATGCACCTTGTTTAAATGTTCAAATTATGTGTGTGTGCATGTGTGTGTGCGTGTATGACATAAATAAATCATTAAAATGTGTTTACCCATTAAGTGATTTTTTCCTAAATAACCAGTTCAATAGTTCTAGATAGGAGATTTTCACTCTATTATTTTTATTTAACTTATTGAAAAATAGAGCTTCACGGACCTATGTAACTTGACCCACTGATAACAAACAAAGCAAAATTCTCCTGAATTCTAGGGTGGTGTTCTTCCATTATGTTAAAGTATATCCCCTAATCTATACGTTATTGTTCTTATGTTTTAGACCCTTGTTTTAATTCTGAGAATGACTTTATAATGTCATTGCTAAAAATTGCAGATTAATGTTTACTGTGGGGATATGGGGATGCACTTCACATATCCCTTCAGGAGAACTTGCAGTGGGGGACACCCTGACTGTCATACTTTTAAATATACTTCAATCTTAACACGAAGGCATTCAGCAAGACTACTTTTCCTGCAAGATGTTTCCAGCCAGTGTTGGAACACAGTGGGGAATGCTAGAGCCAGATAACTATCATTCCTGTGGGACTCCTATAATAGACAATCTGTCTCTCATGGGAAAACTATAAGAGATTCCATGTAGGCTGTGACTGAGGAACTACACTATAGTTTGAGGCTCTTTCTTTCTCATCCTTTATTCCCTCCTTTTTTCACAGGGATCATTCATGCATCATAGTCAGAATGCCTTCTCTGTCCACTTTTGCTCTTTCCCACTTCATCCTTCAAAGGCTTTCCCTGCAATAAGTTGCATGTACATCAAAATCCAGTCTTAATGTTTGCTTCTAGGAGGACCTAGGCTGGAAGCTGGTACTGAGAGTGGCCTAAAATAATAAGTGGTAAGATGGAGTGTGGAAATTTCTCATTCACTATCCTGCTGGTAATAAGTACTATCCTGAGTGCCCTATCTTGAGGGCAAAGTGGGGCAAAGCTAGTTCCTAACGCAGGAGGATAGTCCAGTTGCTGAAGATTTCACCAGTGGAAAAGATGTCTCAGTAAAGGAGATGATTTTTGCCAGTGTGATGATTCAGGCATTTAAAAGATATGGGGAAAGCAATGTCTACAAGGACAGCGGAATTGGCTATTTATTACTAAGTTGTACTGATGCCAGGCAGAAGGTAAAGAGAAACTGAGAACTATTGACAAGAATGAAAGGCTAAATGTAAAAGCGGAGGGCTTATTTGGTTTACAAAATGGCATTTATTTCCTGAACAGGAGACATCTGAGGAGAAGCCTGGGATGTAATAGTTGAGGTCTTGGAGCTTTGGAGACCATGGTAAATGCTTAGCTAAGGCTGCATTGTTTTGCCAAGGTAGGTGTCTTAATCCATTTTGTGCTGCTATGACATAATACTTTAGAATAAGTAATTTATAAAGAATACAAATTTATTTCTCACAGTTCTAGAGGCTAGGAAGTGCCTGATCAAGGCCCTGGCGTGTTTGTGTCTGGTAATGGCCTAGACTCTTCTTCCAAGAGGGTGCCTTGACCACGCGGAGTGGTGAGGAGACACTGTTCCTCACATGGCAGAAGAGTGAAAGGAATAAGAAATGATGAGAGAGAGCAAAGGGGACAGAACTTGCCCTTTATAAGATACTCACTCACACAATAATGACATTAGTCCATTCATGAGGGCAGAACCCTCACATACCAATCATCTCTTAAAGGTCTCACCTCTTAATACTGTTACAATGGCAATTAAATTTCAAAGTGAGTTTTGGAGGGGACAAACATTGAAATCATAGCAGCAGATATAATTTCATTTGGGCATACATCCTCAGGTTTATGACTCTATAGACTCTATCTGAACCCCTAGAAATGGCAGATTCATAGTAGCAGCCAGAATGTGAGAAGGCATAAGAAAAGCCACTTTCTCTTTCCTAAGACAACATATTTCTGCTATAGAAATTGTCCCATTCATTTTTCTTGTAGTCAGCCCAAAAATATGATTAACCTACAACATATTTGGAAGCACACGGAGCCTAACAAGGAAAAAATTATATCCTGAAGAAGCTGCAAGAATTAGCCGGCATGTTTCTGTAGAAGCCAGGGTGACACCCCTAGGATTTGATTTTGATCAGGGGCCTGGAACCTACGATTGGACAAGTAAGGATTTATTAATTTGGGGGACAGTTTTTTGGGGGACATAGGATTTAATAACCTGACAGGAATCCCAGGGTGACACATTACTAGGGTAGCTCTTAAAAGCCTGGAGAAAACATGGTTCATACTGAGAAAAGTGGAAAAGCCTAAGTTTCCCTAGCTAACCGAAGAAGAAGGAATAGGATTGAGGAAAGTGGAGGTTCTGGCTTGAATATATAAAATGAAGCCAGAAGATCCATCAAATTATTATGCTTCATGGGAAAGCTCCAAAACATGCTATTTGCCAAAGCCATAAAGAGTGTGCTGGTGAGAGGGCTGCAACCTCACTCAATTGTTCTTCTCTGGCTCTCCTCTTTAAGCTAGGGCTAATGGCAGGATAGGTTTTACAGAGTTAGCATGTTAATTGCCAGGAGATCTGCCCTCAAAGTAATAGAGGAAAAGAGATTGGGCTTCTCTGACAAGAAAGTAGAGAACCACGTTATGACAGCAAGTAGAAAAGTCAGAGAGAGAGCCAAGGGAAGGTGACCCTTCCAGGAGTTGTGGAGATGGTTAACAGAATGTGGTACTCTTCAGTGCATGCTATGGATAGTAACTGAGTGCTGTTTAAGATCTGCAATCAGAGGACAGCAATAATGAAGAGGCAGCTATTTCAAAATTATTATTAACTATAGTGGTATATTTCAAAATAGCTAAAAGAGGACTGTAAATTTTTATACTACAAGGAAATGGTAAACATTTGGGTAAGGGATATAGTTATTAGCTTGATTTGATCATTCTACAAGGTATACATGTAGAAAGCATCACATTGCACTCCATAAATATATACAATTGTTATTTTTCAGTTAAAAATAAAATAAAACTAAAACCAAAAAAGAATGGAGAAGAAGGAGGCTGAGGGCAATCAATTGCTCTAATAAAATGTTGCTCAGTTCCACGGCCTAAGCCAATATTCAGATCTGGAAACTACTCTCTGCAGTCTCTTCCTATAAGGCCACTATCCGATCATGGAGACTTTACCCTCATGATCTAATTACTTCCCAAAGGCCCTGCCTCCACATACCATCCCATCGGGCATTAGGACTTCAGCATACGAATTTTAAGGGGACACAATCATTCAGTCTGTAGCCCCCTAAGTGATTGTGTATCCAGACTGCCCACTAGAAAGCCCCTCTTGAACTGGACTTACTATGTCATAAAAAACAGATGCCGTAGCAGCACACTATGAAATAAAAAAAATAGTGCATCTGTTATTGTGCTCAAGCAAGACTAGAGAATGCAAGTCAGCTGCACCGCTGGGTAGCACAGACTTTCACATCACCTTTCACTGAAGTACTTCTATGTGTCACCCACAGGTACATAGGAAAAGTCCTAAATAACCAGCTGAAGGAAAAGAAAGAAGTCTCTGCTTGGTTAAGATTAGGTTAAGGTTGTATTAGGTCATTATTTTGGGTGCAAGCGAAAAATGGATGGTGGTTGCATCACAGTGACATTTGAGGATAGCCTTAAAAAAAAAGTAGTGAGGGGCAAATATCCCAATGAGTAAAGCTGGAAACAGTTCACCTGATCTTCTCTACTTTGAAGTGAAAGTGACTGAAAGTGAGAATATATGTCAGTGGCCTGGAAGGGAAAGGATTAGAAAATTGCAGATGAGGAATTGTGGTGTAGAGGAATGTGGTTGAACATATGGGAGTGCATGCAAAGTGTGAAAGTTTTTGTATTACATATAAAACACACCAAAAAGCCTAGAAATTCCATCAACTATAGAAGAGGCACTGAAAAGCCAAAGTAGACCAAAGGACTGGGCCAATTGATGTCAGCCAGTCCTTGTCAATGTCCTTCTTATTCCTTCCTTCTAAAGGAGAAACAATATTTCTGGCGAGTGAGCCTGAAGAAAACACATTTAACTGTTTTGCTCAAGACCAGGCAGTAAATTTTGCAGAACCAAACCATTTTATGGGGTGAAGTGGTGGAAAGGGGAATATTACAGCTGCCGGTGACTGACTGGAGGAAATTCTTAGAAGGCCCAACTTGCCTAATGAGCCCAACATACATACTTCAACAACTCTGACGGTAATGAACTGGGTTTATCTCTATCTGCCAGACTCCTATGCCCATTGCACCTTTGGCTTTTAGTGTGGAATGTACTCATTAGCTTCTCAAATTCAAATAACTCACAAAATAGAAAGTGAAGACTATTGAATAGTCCTCTATATATTTTTCATAAAGGTGATTTTATATCGGAAGAGTGATGTATGAGGAAAAGTAGCCAATAGTTCACCTTGCTTCTCTTATTATTATCTTGTAGGTGGTTGAGTGTTTTTTTCCTTTCTCTTCTCTATGTAAAACTTTATTTTTAATAAGATAGAAATTTAAATTATTCAAAAATTATACTATATGTCTACATTTATTAAGTTTTAAATTCTAGAACACTGGGATCTTACAGTCTTCTTAGAGGAAGCAAAGTCCAGTAGTCGGCAGTAGGGGTAGAAAGAAGCTCCTGCATTCCCCAGCACAGACAGAGTCACCTTAATAATGCCAACAGGACCTGAGCTGAATGAAGAAGCTTCTTCCCTGGCTACCCCATGGGTAGTCATGTACTGCCTTTAAAGGCCTCTTATATTCTTCATTCATTTGTTTTATTTTATAGCTAAATTGCAAGGTTTTTAAAGGCAGTAAACTATATGTGTATTCATATTACCAAGGGAGGGCATTTTTAAAACCTCTAGTTGGATAATACTTTTTTTTTCTTCAAAATCAGTGAAATACATTTTTTTTCACAAGAAAGTTGGTAGGTTAAACAAATCAAAGAGGAGATATTCTGTTTAAAAATTAAGGGGATACCACAATAGCACATTTTTTCCCTTGAAGCAACCCTATTAAACTCACAGAATTGGTGAGAGTACAGTTTGAAGATCACTGATAGAACATCCCCTCCTTACGTTAAAGGTGAAGAAATTTAGAGGTGCTATGTATCCACCATAGTATGAGGCAGTCAGCAAAACTGTTGAGTAGACTAAATACAAATGTTGTTTAATATAATACTTTTGTGTCTATAATGGCATGTGTCACCTTTGAAAATGGCATAAAGAACATATACTTTAGACTCCAATAGACCAGGGTCCTCCAAGTTTATTAACTTCTTCTGGTCTCAGTTTCCTTAATTGTAAAATGAGTGTTAACCCTATCTCATATCATTTGTTCTGATGATTAAGTTAGAAGAATCATAATTGCACCTATTGAGTGGCCTGGTTAAATTAAAAACTTGAAAACTGTTAGCTTCTTTCTCTCAGTTAATTTTACTTTTGCCTTGGATAGCACATAATGTCATAGTAAAATGGATAAAGAGCTCCGGACCATCCCAATAATCCTTTATTATTTGTCAGTTTCTTTATTAGTAGAATGGCAGTGGACTTGACATCAAGCACATTATGATAAGACACTTAACCAAAAAAAAGTTGGTGGCTTGTTAACCATTTGCCCAGATGGCAAAATATTGATTTTGCTTATTTCATAGGTAGTCTTATAGTGGGGAAATATAGAAAGAATAAGGAATGTGGCCCTGAAGAAAAAAAGTGAAGCACGTCTATACACAACGCTTCAACAGAGAGTACTCATGAATATTTATTTTACTTTTTAAAAATATATTTGGATCCTTTTATAAATTTATGAAAAAAGAAACAAGGAAAAAGTGAAACAAACAAAACTCTAAGGTAACTGACCACCCTGACGTTTTTGTAAAGGCTTTTGAAGGCCACTAACACTTTTTCTAACACATCCTGTAGATGATTCACAAACACCAAGATTATTTTATTTACGTGGATTCTGTTTTTCATTAATGAAAGGAGAAAATTTATCTATATGAAAAATATCAACATAAGTCAATACAAAGAATTGATTTAGCTTTGTTACTCCTAAGTGCTTTCCAACACTTAGTAAGAAATATCTAGACCAAGAACAATGAACACACAGTCCATTACCTCATAGCCTTAAAAATACTTAATGGCTTCCTGGCACAGTGTGAAGATACCTCCTATTAAGAAAAAATAAAAGTTGCTATTCCAGTACTGCTATTTTGTGTAAAAATAAAACCAAAAAAATAGAAGCAAGCATATATCTATATATTCTTTCAGTAATATGAAACATATTGTTTCAATATCATATTACAATGTTTTCTCTTTTGAATATTATAATGTTCACTTTTTAACACTGTCTTTTCATAATCTGCCTTTTTGCTAGGGGCTGCCATAACAAAATACCACAGAATTGACTTAAAGAAGAAAAAGTTATTTTGTCATGGTTCTGGAAGTGGGAAATCCAAGATCAAAGTTTGACAGGTCTGATTTTTCCTCAGGTCTCTCTCCTTGTCTTGAAGATGGCAGTCTTCTCACTGTGTTCTCATGTGGCCTTTTCTCTGTTCTATTGCGTCATGTGTCCCATTCTCTTTTTTTTGAGGACACGAGTTATATTAGATTAGGGTACATGCTGTTGGCCTTATTTTAACTTAATCATCTTTTTAAACACCCTATCTACAAAGGTAATTGCGTGGGTTGGAGGGCCTCATTTAACTTTAATTCCCATTTTAAAGAACCTATTTCCATATATGGTTACATTCAGAGGTTCTTGGGGTTGCTACTTCAATATATGAATTTTGAGGAACACAATTCAACCCATAATACTTTTCAACTTTAAAACTTACAAAGTGACTAACATACTAATTGATGAGCTCCACAATTGCTATTGGATTTAAACATTTGTTTACAATTTCAGAGACTTGTTTAGGCTGCTAGGTGGGTGGACTTCTGCCTATGCCCAAGGAAAGTTTCCACCTATGCTCTGTGAATGTATCAAGAGAGATGGCCAATTTGCTCATGGCCTAAGTATAAACATTTATTTTTGTGCCCATGTTTCTTTCTATGTGGTCCTGCATAATCCTGTCAGACACCTATGGGTAGCAATTTCCAAATTGTCTGACTTCTCCAGAAACAACTTGATAGTTGTGAGTTGGAACATTTTTGTGCACAATCTCTGCGGGTGCATGCACATGGGCACCTGTATGTGTAGCTGCAGGAGGTACATGCATACTTCTTTGCACCAGCTCTTTCATTTTCATTTTCCCTTTTCTTTTCATTTTTCTTCTGAAGTCCCTTTTTAAACCCTTCATATTATGTGCTCTTTTACTTTAGAACTCATCGCTTTTGCAAAGTATAACAGAGTTTCTGTTCCACACCCAGTCCATCATGTTCTTGCAACTTCTACCACCGTGGATGTCAGTTGATATTAATGCAGTCTTACTCTGTTGCTTAGTCTTCTTTGGACACTAATACAGGTAATGTGTGAGTTTCATTTCCCCTCTTAGCATGATATTGTGTTAATAGAAATAATTGTTTCCTCAAATATAATTCTTTGATCACAAGCAATGCTAGTGTTAGCTTTTCTCCTAAAGCAGTGGCTTTGAAACTTTTTGGATCATGACCCACATTCAGATTCAGCATACAGATACCTACATATCAACAGTGCTCACTTGACTCCACTGGTAGTTGTTTTCTTGAGTTCAAATGAACAGTCAAAATCATGAGACACAATAGGTTTTACCCAGCATTGTCTACTTATCTTTAAGAAATAATACTGGACAGGACCAAACACAGCATGCGCAGAAACAGCAAAGTGGAGGTTTTGTGAGCCCCAGGCCCAACTTCTAATGTCATAATTATTCTATATTTGAAACATGCAAAGTCATGAGAGATGAAGCTGAGCATGAGCAGATGAACTTGACTCAAGGAAAGCTCTGAAATCCCTTCAGCTTGTATATTAGCTAGTCACATAGCCCTCAGGTGCCTATTACTAGCTAATCTTGGGAATCCCTAAGGAATATATTGCTAGCGACCACTTTCTGGATCAGCTTTATCTCATCAGTGCCAGGTTTTAATTAATCAGTCCCACAAGGGACATGTAGTTGGTCTGTAACATAGTTCTTGGCCAATTTCTCGCTGGTATTGGCAAAGAAAATCTAGCAAATATAGAAGGTTGAAATGAAAATAGTAAATAATGTTATCTTAAATGGTGGAATTCAAGTTGGACTGTGATACTTTATGTTCAGTCTTGACTTAGAGATTATTCTCACGATTGCCCTTTTTACTTTCTTGTCATTTCCGCATTACCACCACTCTCACTATCTTCACCACTATCACTATCATCATTGTCATTAATAATTCTTACTGACTATTCTCAGGGTACTGCTGCAAAAGCTCAGATAATCTCTTAGTCTGTTTTGTGCTGCTATAATAGAATATCTGAGACTGGGTAATTTGTAGGGAACATAAGTTTATTTCTCACATTCTGGAGGCTGGAAAGTCCAAGATCAAGATGCCAGCATCTTTCAAGGGTCTTCTCGCTACATCATCCCATAGCAGAAGAGTGGGAGGGCAAAGAGAGGGCAAGGGAGAGACAAAAGAAGGCAAAACTGTCTTTTTACAAGAGACCCACTCTTGTGATAAAGCCACTAATTTATTCATGAGGGCAAAGTCTTTATGGCCTAATCACCTCTCATTAGGCCCCACCTCCCAAAACTTCCACTGGAGATTAAGTTTTCAATGCCTGCTTTTGGGGAGACACTGTCAAACCATAACAAAATCAAAATGTAGAATGTATGAAAGAGCTGCTTTTCTACAACCATTGTCCTTTAAAATGGTTGACCCCAATGATATACACATGACATTCATTTAAAAAGTTTGAAATGCACTGTTTTTGAATTCCCACAAATTTAACAAAGAATAGATAATTTATGAAGAGTTATGAATATAGAGAAGAAAGGCACTTGATACAGTTGGTCACAAAATGCTTCATATTTAGACAGCAAGGCAATCCAATCTAAGAGAGAAAATTGAAATAAAGAAGCAGAAAATATTTCTCCCTTAGGGCTTAGGGGATGGGGAATGGAAGATACTCTGTCTACAGATAAGGTCACTGATGACATGGTGATATGTAAGGATTTACAAATTCTAAAATATTATTCCATGTTGCTTAAAATTTCCATTAGAATAATACATCTGGGCTATGCACACATAAACACACACATGCATGATTTTCAGAAGAAACAGTTTTGGTAACTGGGCTTTGTGCTCTTTTAAACATACTGCAGGCACATCTGAGCTGAGATAAAAGGGGCAATGGGTACCTGGCCTTGTAACAATGTTTCTCTCTCCTTGAGTTTTTCTTCTGTTGATAGAACTGGTTTTATATCTATGTTTGTGATGGTTAATTTTATGTGTCAACTCAGCTGGGCCATGGTGCCCAGATATTTGATGAAGCATTATTATGGATGTTTTCTGTAAAGGTGTTTTTTAGATGAGATTAACATATAAGTCAGGGAACTTTTGAGTAAAGAAAAGAGCCCTCTGTAACATAAGTGGGCTTCATCCAATCAATTAAAGGCCTAAATAGAAAAAAAAGACTCAACCTCCACAACAAGAATAAATTCTGCCACAGACAGCCTTTGGACTCAAACTTCAACTCTTCCCTGAGTCTCCAGACCGGTGACCAACGTTACAAGATTTTGGATACACTGAGCCTCCATAATTGCATGAGCCAATTCTTTAAAATGAACCTCTGCTTATATATATACATTTAGATATTAACATATAAACACACACACTCATAGCCTGTGGATTCTGTTTCTCTGGAAAACTCTGGGTAATACAGATTTTGATGCTAGGAGTGCTTCTATCAGCAACTAAGTTTTTAGTGAGTATAGTTTTTTCTTTTTTTAATAATGAAAAGTACAGTTGACTCTTGAACAATGCGGTTGTTAGAGGCGCCAACCCCCATGCAATGAAAAACTCACATGTAGCATTTGACTCCTTTAACTTCTAACTAGTAATAGCCTACTGTTGACCAGAACCCTTATTGACAACATAGTCTATTAACACATATTTTATATATGTATTATATGCTTTTATATACGTATTATATACTTTCTTAGTAACATTGTTTTTCCTCTAGCTTATTTAATTGTGCAATTGAATTTGTACAACTGAATTTGTACAATTAAATAAGCTAGAGGAAAAACAATGTTACTAAGAAAATTACAGGGAAGAGAAAATATATTTGCTATTTATTATGTGGAAATGAATCATCATAAAGGTCTTCATCCTCATTGTGTTTACAGTGTGTAGGCTGAGGAGGAGTAAGAAGAGAAGAAATTGGTGTTGCTGTCTCAGATGTGGCAGACGCAGAAGAAAACTCATGTATAAGTGGACTCGTGCAATTCAGATGCATGTTGTTCAAAGGTCAACTGTATTTGCAATTGTGAGAAAAGCATAAACTCTGCTGTCAATTCTTGTATTTTGGAGGAAAACATGGTTTTGTTTTGCAAAAAAGTTATGAGTTTTATAATTTTCTTCCTTCCTCCCTCCCTCCCTTCCTTTCTTTCCTTTTTTTAAAATAATGATGCAATGATTACTCAGCTGGAATGCTGTGACTCAGAAGTGAAAAATTAGCAGATCCAATAAATAAAGGCAAAAATGGTACTTGAAATTCACAACACATAGTAATTCGCATGGGTGGTTAAATCTTAGAAAACCTAGTTAGGATAAAGTGTCTAAGATGCAGCTTTGAAAGTTTAGCTTACTGTCTTTATCACATTTGTGAATGGAATCATAATGCTTTATTTGCCAAGATTTTATTAGTTCTATAAATCTTTTTTTCAAGATGTATTGTGCCTTGTTCTTAAATATCTAGCTTAAGAAAAAAAAAGACATACATTTTTCTGTGCTTCTCAGGATTTCATACAATTTCTTTGTTAATTCATATATTTGAGAATGTTAGAGGCACAGTGTGAAATTGTTGTCTGTAATGATAATGGGTAACCACCAAAGATCCAACCATAAAAACATAATAGTGATGACGTTTCTCAACATTAATAGAAACAAAATTTCTTTATCTTAGAGATTTCAAGGTCTTATAAACCAAGGAATGCATTTCTCAGAGGAAAAGCAATAAAGTACAAATTCACCAAGTGACCAATTACGAATTTCTCACAGGGCAATAAACTTTCTTCATATTTCCTAATACTCAAGCAAGAGTCTGTTCTATGTATCAAAAGATACTAAGAAATGTTTATTAATGTGACTAGTTATTACAAAGAAAAATTCTTATTCCTGACATATTACATATGGAGAACTAAGTGGGTAGGCCAATTTGTATTTCAAAAGAATGGAGTTAGATAGACCTAAATGTAATGTTACTTTAAGGCAGATATTCTGCAGAATCAAATTAGGTTTAGTAGAGACATTAAAAAACATCTCACCATAGTGGACTTGTGTGTCCAACTCAAGGTATATTCCAACAATGCTCATCCCTTTACTTGAGTAGCTCAGTACTGAGACCTTAATTTTAATTTGCATGCTGTGTGACATTCCACCGGGTGGCAGGCTTAATTCTATGACCTCGTGATTCCCATGTCACTTTTGTTTTGTATGTTTCATGGTGACTTCCTTCTTTGACTTATCCTAGGCATGACAGCTCATGCCTGTTCAGTTCTATCTCATACATTTTTTCAAGGGTTTCTCAAAGTTCTTTTTTTTCTGTACTGAGCAATCTTTATGAAGGCAAATGTCATGTGAAGTGAAGCATTCAGGAAAATTTCTCTGTTTGTTATTTAACACTTATGAAAATGTCTCCTTCTCTGTCCACATACTTAAGCTTCTTGATATTCTCCCTGTTTTAGCCTTGATGTTAAATTAGATGACTTTAAGTAGAAGCCACAACATTTTTTTTCTACTGGGCAACAGGAAAAAAAACTTTGAAAGCCCAATTTTATTTTTGTGAGGTTAAAGAACAGGAGGACAGGTAACATGAATGACTGGCTGGAAAAAATATATTTTATTGATACATATTTATTATATTAATTATACATAATATAATACATATAGTGATACATATATGTTGATAAAACTTTTATTTTATCTATAATTTCAACTCTTATTTTAGATTTGGGGTATATGTGCAGGTTTGTTACATGGATACCTTATGTAATGCTGAGGTTGGGGTACAAATGATCCCATCACCCAGGTAGTGAGTATAGCACCCAATAGGTGGCTTTTGGACTCTTGGCCCCCTCCTTGTCTCCCCATCTTAGTAGTTTCCAGTGTCTGCTATTGCTGTCTTTATGTCCATGAGTACCCAGTGTCTAGCTTCCACTTGTAGGTGAAAATCTGCAGTATTTGGTTTTCTATTCTCGTGTTAATTTGCTTAGAATAATGGCCTCTAGCTGCATCCATACTGTCACAAAGAAATAATTTCATTATTTTTTATGGATCCACCATTGATGGGTACCTAGGCTGATTCCATGTCTTTGCTATTGTGAATAGCCCTGTGATGAATATGAGTGCTTATGTCTTTTTGTTAGAGCAATTTATTTACTTTTGGATATATATCCAGTAATGGTATTACTGGATCCAGTGGTGGTTCTAAGTTTTATGAGAAATCTCCAAACTGCTCTCCAGAGTGGATGAACTCATTTACATTCCCACCAAAAGTGTATAAGCATTTCCTTTTCTCTGACGCCTCACCAGCATGTTTTTTGTTTGTTTGTTTGTTTGTTTTTGGTAGTAGCCATTCTGACTGGTGTGAAATGGTATGTCATTGTGGTTTGGATTTAAATTTCTCTGATGATTAGTGATGTTGAACATT
Source organism: Homo sapiens (assembly GCF_000001405.40). Taxonomy (NCBI): domain Eukaryota; kingdom Metazoa; phylum Chordata; class Mammalia; order Primates; family Hominidae; genus Homo; species Homo sapiens. The sequence continues at coordinate 110,418,071 of NC_000003.12, read as the reverse complement.
TTTTAATATGTTTGTTGGCTACTTGTATGTTTTCATTTGAGAAATGTCTGCCTATGTCTTTTGCCCACTTTTTAACAAAGTTATTTGTTTTCTGCTTGATGAATTGCTTAAGTACCTTATAGATTCTGGATATTAGACTTTTGTTGAATGCATAGTTTGCAAATATTTTCTCCTACGCTATAGCTTGTCTGTTTATTGATAGTTTCTTTTGCTGTGCAGAAGATCTTTAATTAGGTCCGACTTGTCATTTTTTTTGTGATTACTTTTTAGGACTTTGTCATAAATTCTTTTACAAGGCCAATGTCCAGGATAGAGTTTCCTAAATTGTTTTCTAGGATTTTTATAGTTTGACGTTGTACATTTAAATGCTTAATTAATTTTTGTATGTGATGAAAGGTAGGAGTCCACTTTCACTCTTCTGTATATAGTTAGCCAGCTATCCAAGAACCATTTATTAAATAGGAATTTCTTTCCCCATTGCTTGCTTTTTTTGACTTCCTGAAAGATCAGATGGCTGTAGGTGTGCAACTTTATTTCTGGGTTCTCTATTCTGTTCCATTGGTCTATGTATCTTTTTTTTTTTCCCCCAGTCCCATACTGTTTTGGTTACTGTGGACTTATATAGCATAGTTTGAAGTCAGGTAATGTGATACTTCCAGTTTTTTATATGTGTTTGAAGGTTTGCTTTGGCTATTTGGGGGCTTTTTTGGTTCCATTTGAATTTTAGAAGAGTTTTTATCTAATTCTGTGAAAAAAATGACATTGGTAGTTTGGTAGGAAAAGCGCTGAATGTGTAGATTGCTTTAGGCAGAATAGGTATTTTAAAAATATTGACTCTTTTAATATATGAGCATGAAATGTTTTTTCCATTTGTTTGTGTTATCTCTGACTTTTTTCATCAATGTTTGTAGTTTTTCTCATAAAGATCTTTCATCTTCTTGGCTAGATGTATTCTTAGGTACACATACACACACAGATATATATTCACAAATAATATGATATATGAGATATTTTCCAGCATTCATTTTATGAACACATTCATACCTGATCAATGAGGTTAGCTTTGCATTGTGGATGTTTCAGAAATATCTCTGAAGAGGAATAACCACTGCCCAACTACGCCACAATTAATTTTAGAGTTACTCATGAAAGTAGGTTATAAGAAAAATAATGAGAAAAAATGTCCGTATGGTAGTGGAACGACCATTGGTTACATGGTATTTACAATAGCTGAATGACATAGAATCTTTCTACAGCCAGAAAGAAGGAAACTAAAATTAGAGGAAGCCATAGCTTTTATACATATGAAAAGTTCCTTATTCAAAGTTTTTCTGCTTCTACTTCCTTATTTATGTAGGCTCATCATTTCACAGGGAACTGCTAACTCAGTGGATACTATCTCCACTTTTAGTCTCAGTGAAGTGGCAATTTATTGATGACACAGTTGATTGAGATATTTAAAAATAAAGTTGTAATGAAGAGTAGAAGAACCAGCTTATTTTTTTGAGGTCTTTGGATTCTTTGGGGAAAAAAGTAATATGTTAAACAGCTATGTGACATTGTGTAAACCACTGTATTTCTCTGTCCACAGGTTTACTCATATAAAGTGAGTCTTGGACCAATTCATTGCTAAGGTCTTTTCCAAGTCTAACATTTTATATTTAAAATACTTATGAAATTTACTTCTGAGCTCTTCTTCAACTATAGATAACTCAGAGCCTTTGTTCTCTTGATAACCCTATTGATTACTACATTTTTAAGAGGCTAGAGAGTGGTACAGCAAGGCAAAGTGACTTATTCAAGGACACACTCTTCAAAAGGGCTAAAGCTAGAATCTATTCTGTTGGATTCACTTTTTTTTTTAACAGATACTGATGCATCTTTGTATCCTGCCTTGATTGTATAAACTAGAATACAAATGTTCACAAAATATTATCCACATTCCAGAACTATAATTTTTTAAAAATAGTAGGCTTTTTACAAAGCTGCCAGTGCATATTAAAAGTATTATCCTTGTCAAGGTAATAGGAGAACAACGCAGTATACAGAGGAAAAAGCAATAATGTGAATAACTCTTTGACTTCCTAAAAGCCAAGGCCAATCTTTACGTAGCCAAATTTGTTGAGTTTTAATGAAGGCCTGGTCTGGGCTGAGGCTTCCCTGGCTCCTTGTAGCAGTTATCATGAGATACTGAAGGTTTTTGATAAATTTAAGAAACAGTCTCTGTGAGATTTAATGTTGCTTTCAAAAAGGTCAAGGAGAAACTGAGAATTCTTTGCTCTGTAACTTTTATCCATATCCACAGAATCCTGACCTTTGGGATTAGCAGAATTTTTAGGATTAGAACATGTTAGGGCAACTGAAAATAAATTGCTGACAAATCCCTATTATTACAATAATAATTATCATTTCCTTATTATTATAATGAATTACCACGTATTTCCTGACCTAATTCAACACATTTTTTTTTCTTACATTAATGGAGGTCAGAAGGCCTAAAATCAAGATGCCTTCTGTAGGATTTAGGGTAGAATCCATTGCCTTGCCTTTTTCACCTTCTAGAGACTATCTGTATCCCTTGGTTTGGGCTCCTTTCCTCATCTTCAAAGCCATAAATGTGCATTTCAAATCTCTCTCTTTCTGACACTGACAATCCTGCCACCCTCTTATAAGGACTCTACTGATTATATTGCAGCCACCGAGATAACTAGAAATAGTCTCTCCTCAAAATCCTCAACTGAGTCACATCTGCAAACTCTCTTTTGCCATGTAAGGCAACATACTCACAGGTTCTGGGCTTGTGGATGTGAGTATTTTTGGTGACCATTACATATAATAAACTGAATGGGTCCATCTGAATCTGTTCTACTCTCAGAACAGTGTTTGGTAAGTTGCTCGTGGACCTTCAATTGAACAGAAGCAGATTCTCAGTTGTCTCCCAGGAACAATAGCATCTGAGTCTTACAAAGAAAGTCAGACAGCAAAAGCTCTAGGAAGCTAATGGACATAACACAGATGACTAACGTTAAACACTCGGGGAAGCCACTCAGAAATTAGATGAGTCAGTAAGCTTTGATAATGTTCAAATACTCTTTTACCTTCAAGCCAATTCAACCTAAAAACACTTCAAGCCTCCTATGGTTAAGGCATATTTCAGCTTCAGGGCATACACTAACTGTTACTCCTGTCTGGAATATTATTTTCTCAGATATTTACATGTAATCCCTTCCCCTTCTTCAAATCTTTGTTGAAATGCCAGTTTTTAAATGAAGTTTGCTCTGATCATGTTAAAATTGCAAACTATCCCTTTCTTCTTAAGTCTAATCCAAATTACTCTGTTCTAGTTTGAATTATTGTATTACCTATTATTTTCTTATAATTATATAATTTAACTTATGTCTACAGAGAGTGCATTATCTTCTCTTACCCGCTCAGTCTAGAAGTTAAGTTCTAAGAAGTAAGAGCTTATTATTTGATATTTTACACTGAAGTATCCTATGTACTGAAAACAGTGCCCAGTGTATAACAGATGCTCAATAAAGACTTTTAATGAATATAATAACTAAAGATAAATCCCAGGTACTTCGCTAAAATGTACCCCAATTAGCTTGTTTCCAGCTATTCTCCTACTTTAATTGTTCAAATTTCATTTGAGTATTCCTGTTTTAATTGATTCCTAAACTTTAGTTTGTCAACTGTTTTTGCTCTTCTTGTATTTTTGACTTGTAGATCAATACTTGGCACTCAGAAGGAAACAGGCTCAGATTTATCTCTCTAGTTCTTCCAACCCTGGCTACACACAGAAGAAAAATTTACCCAAGCTTTGGCCCTGGGACACAACACTGGCACAAGTTTACTTGGCAGAGCTCTCAACTGGGCCCACGTAGGCTGAGATTGGAATTAGACAGATGTTTCTACAACAAATGCTTCTTTAAAGTACATGCATATTGGTTCCACCAAACTTTTGGAGTCTAAAAGGAAAGGATTTACTACCCAAAATTAATAGAACCTGGCTTTGTGAATCTTATGAAAGATATAACTATTTTCCTCTTGACCATTTCCTGTGCCATTGCTTTGTTTTCTTCTTTGGAGTAGAAATGAACATGTTTTTCATTCTTCCAAAGTGATTCATTTCCTCGAGAGATTTCTGCAGAGTAGAATCTCATAGATTTGCCAGCATGGTTTTGAGCCCAGTGCTAGATTATCATGAAAAAACAAAAAACACAAAAAAACCCTGTATGAGAGAGAATTGTTTTAAAGAAAACGTAATGTCAATGTTTGAAACATGCTAGTAACAGATATTAATGTTTGCCCAATTTGGTGACCTTCTAACCTAGACTAATAATTGGTCATATCTTTTGAACAAAACAATCTGTGTTACACATACTGTGTTTCAAAATGTGATCAACATAAATGCATAGGTTTTTTGACATCTACCATGTCATAAGATAGTTGGAGTGGTAGAAAGATTCACTAAAATGTTAATAAGCAGGCAAATGAAAATATTTAATTTGGCATGTCATGTGGATCCTCAGGAAGTAAAAATCCTCATGCTGCCATAGCTATAAACCCTTTAACTCTCCCTCTGCTGGCTTCACCAGTCTGCACGCTGAGTTCACTTCTCGCATGTCATATTCTGCTGAGGAGAACAGAATGACAAGGCTCACTCCATGTCTGCAGCAGCACAGCAGGTGAGTTTTACTTGGATGAGCCAGAAACCATTCTCGGCCAAAGAGATGTCTTATTAGCAAGCATGAAAGGATGAAGCAGATTCAGCTAAAACACAGACTACAGAAAGTATTTTGCAAGCAAATCAGAAGTCATCTATATTTATTCATCAATTTCTTTATATAGAAAATCATTTGGTAGCTTAAAAATACTTATGGAATAAGAATGAGCTATAGCTCTCCAGTCAATTTATATCATGAAAAGGGCTAAAGTCTTCTTTTAAATGGAAACACATGGGGAGATAGCAAATTTATATTCTAAGCCTTTATTATCTGTGTATTGAATAAGTTAACCAATGCACAATGCCAAATTTGAGACCAAGTTTTGCCCTAAGACTTTCTATGTTTCTCTCATGTCATAAAATTTACAATAGTTCCAATTTTCCCAATATCTATTGTGTAAATGGATTAATCTGAAAGGAAAATAGAACATTTCCATGATGGCAGAGAATGTCACAGGTGTGGACAGTAGATTGGAACATACCATATCCTCTTAAATACACTCTTTTTCCAAACACCCTCATTTCTTACACTAAATCCTTAAATTTTCCAGGAAGCCAGATTAGAAGCTTTAAACACTTCTCTTTTTTCTCCTTTGCCCCATATATAATTTATCTTTTAACAAGACACATTCTCCAGCTTTCCCAACTCTTTTTTATTTGTCTGACCACCTTTTAGTTCCCATTCATAGATCTTCAGACCTAACTGAAGGTATCAATTGAAGGGCCCAGTTTGGCTTCCTCACTAGTCTCTTGAATTTCAGTTACTGCCACTCACCTGCCCTTGCTCCAATCATCTGCCTCTCAACCTACCTTATATACTTCTTCCCCTCTGGGTAGATACCTAGTAATGGGATTGCTGCATCAAATGATAGATTCACTTTTAGTTCTTTAAGGATCCTCCACCCTGTTTTCCATAGTGGTTGTATTAGTTTACATTCCCACCAATAGTGTAAAAGTGTTCCCTTTTCACTACATTCATGCCAACATCTATTAATTTTTTATTTTTTGTTTATGGCCATTCTTGCAGGAGTGAAGTGGTATTGCATTGCAGTTTTGATTTTCATTTCCCTGATAATTAGTGATATTGAGCATTTTAAAATGCCTTCTTTTTGCTTGCTTTTCAACTTTTTATGTACCTCACAAGACTACATAGCCTGGGTGCCTATGTTTCATAATACCAGGACCCAATAACACCGTGTCTATTAATGTGTTCCATGAGCAGAGTTTGAGAGAAGCCGTGAAATAAGTTTCATAGACATGATTGCTTCCAAAGATGCATTAACCCATATTCTGAAAAAAACATAATTTTCAAAATTATGGAACTGAATGAAATGATAGCAAACAGAATATATGTAAGTGTGTTGGTACCATTTGAGTGAGCTCTGTAAGTGGAAATCAAACTTATTCTTGGTGAGTCTGGAACAAATGCCTGGGATTGGCCTCATGTGCTGTGAAGAGTATTGATGTGCGGTAATTGTATGAGAGCAGAACTTTAGATTATAATGACTATGGGCCAGAAAATACAATGCTATGTAGAAATTGAATTGAACAAATATCAGTATTTTAAGCAAGAGAAGTTTGTAGGAAACAGAATATCTTCAGTAAAATAAAATAAGGTTAATTAAAGCTATTACCATTTATTTTATTTTAGTCATATCCTCTTTACTCAATACTTTTGAAACAATCTATAATGAAGGACAACAAAGTTAATAAAATTAGAATTATTAACAGTAGTAGAAAGCAAGCAAATGGAAGGTTGAATCATTCAGAATTCTTGGTTACAACTAAGAGAAATAGATCCTAGATGATGTAAGCTGAAAAGAGGTCAAAGAAACTGTGAAACTCAGGTGGTCCAATCCCCTCAGTTTTTAATTGACACAATTAAGAATGGTTTAAGCTACTCTTTGAGGTCTCATAGATTAATTGTATTAATGCCATGAGTCATGAGTTTTCCTTATATTCTCTTACACTTTTTAATGTGCTTTATTTGATCCCTTGAATACTTTCTTGTGCCTCTTGGGTGTGAACACTTTTATAAATTTGCATTTATTTTTTTCCTATTCTTCTGACATATAAGAATATATAATGAATAAGTGACAACTGATTAGAAAAGAGTGTTACATTTCACAGTAAAATGTATAAATAAGTGCAAATTAATTATCTGTTTTTTGAAGTAAAAAGATTTTAGAGGTCATTCTTCTAATCTTCAAAAGTTTTTGAGAAAGGGATGCAAACATTTTATTGGCATTTTCTAGGCATAATCTGTTGTATTTGCCAAAGCTTTGTCATTTGTGAGTAATACAGACAAAAGAAATTCCTAGCCAGGCGCAGTGGCTCACGCCTGTGATCCCAGCACTTTGGGAGGCTGAGGTGGGCGGATCACCTGAGGTTGGGAGTTCAAGACCAGCCTGACCAACATGGAGAAACCCTATCTCTACTAAAAATACAAAATTAGCCTGGCGTGGTGGCGCATGTCTGTAATCCCAGCTACTCAGGAGGCTGAGGCAGGAGAATCACTTGAACCCGGCAGGCAGAGTTTGCAGTGGGCCAAGATGGCGCCCTTGCACTCCAGCATGGGCAACAAGAACAAAACTCTGTCTCAAAAAAAGAACGAAAGGATTTCCTGCCAGTAAAACTTTGATATTACAGAAATGTATTTATATATCATATATTTAATGTTTATGGAGAAATACTTTTAGTGCTATAATAGAAACATACCCTTTTGACTTTTTATGAAAAAAAATTACGTTAAATGTTCTTATGTTTGTATGTGCAATGTAATTAATTCTCTTAGTTGTATATTTAAGTAACACCAAATATAACTTTTGAAGTTTGTTTACAAAACAGATATTGTCCAAATAAATAGTTGTACTTTTAGTACTCACTTAAGGGCCCTTTCTTGACTTTTAACCACAGTGTATTACAATTTCAGTAATTCAATATGAAGAATTAAGGTGTGGTACCCACGTGGATTACTTAACTGTTAGGCTAAATGGAGAATTTTTAAAACATAGTTAGAATCTACTACTTTTTTAAAGGCATATTAAGTCTTTCAGTAAATTAGGATCTAAGAAAAAATTACAAGGGAAATTAGAAAATGCTTTGTAATGAATGAAAAAAAAAACAAAAAACAAAATACAACACACCAAAACTTAAGAGACATGGAAAAACCAGTGCAAAGTAGAAATTTATAGCTATAAATGCTTACATTAAAAGACAAGAAAAATCTCAAATCAATAACTTAACTTTACAACCTACAGAACTAGAAAAAGAACAAAATAAGCCCAAAGTAAGAAGGAAGAGGAAAATAATAAAGACTAGAGAAGAGATATATAGAATAAAGAATAGCAAAACAATAAAGACAATTAATAAAAATCAAAATCTATTTTTTGGAGAAATTTAAAAAATTGACAAACCTTTAATTAGATGAACTAAGAACAAAAAAGAGAAGCTTCAAATTACTAAAGTCAAAAAAGTAAGGGCATTACCACCACTTCAATTGTATGCCAGAAAACTGCGTAAGCAAGAAGAAATGGATAAATTTTGAGAAACAAAATCCTACCAAGAGTAAATCACAAATAAATTGAAGATTTGAATAGACCTATAAGAAGTAGGGAGATTGAATTTAAAAAAAAATCTTCCAACAAAGAAAAGCCTAAGACGTGATGGCTTTGCTAGTGAATTCTACCAAACACTCAAATAACTAAAACAAATCTTTCTCAAACTTTTCTAAGAAGCTGAAGAAGAGATAACATTTTCTGTGTCATTCAATGAGGCCAGCGTTACCCTAATACCAAAGCCAGACAAAAACACTACAAAAAAAGAAAACTGCAAATCAATTCCTTTATAAATCTTAATGCAAACATTTTAACAAAATACTAGCAAACTGAATTAAGCAGCATATTATAAGGATTATGCACCATTATAAGGAAATGCACCCCATTTATTTTGGGGATGTAAAAGTAGTTTAACATGCAAAAGCCAATCAATGCCCACATACAACATTAAGAATGTGAAGGAAAAAACAAAACACATGATCTTATCAACTGAGGCAGAAAAAGCATTTGACAAAATTGCACATACTTCCATGATTAAAAGTCTGAACAAATTAGGAATAGAAGGAAACTACCACAATATAATAAAAGCCATATTTGGAAAAACCCACAACGAATATACTAAATGGTAAAAGACTGAAAGCTTTTCTTCTAAAATCAGCAACAAGGCAAAAATGCCTGCTTTCACCACCTTTATTCAATGTTGTGCTGGAAGTTCTAGTCAGATAAATTACGCAAGAAAGGGAAATAAAAAATTATCCAAATCAGAAAGGAAGAAGTAAAATTATCTGTTTGCAGATGATATGTTCTTATATGTAGAAAATTCTAAAAATTTTGTAACAAAACTTTTATAATGAATAAACAAATTCAGCAAGGTAGTGACAAAGTCAACACGCAAAAATCAATTGTATATCTGTACACTAACAATAAAAAAATCTGAAAACAAAATTAAGAAAATTTGTAATTCCATTAGTAAAAGCATCAAAAAGAATAAAATACTTAGGAATTAACCAAGGAGGTGAACGACTTATACAATAACTACAAAGTACTGATAAAGAAATAAAAGCAGTCACAAATAATAAAAATATATCCTATGTTCATGGATTGAAAGACTTAATATTATTAAGTTGTCAAAGGTCAATTAAAATGGCTAAAGGACTTGAACATATATTTCTCCAAGTAAGACATACAAATGACAAATGGCCAACAGGTATATGAAAAGGTACTTGACATCACTAATGATCACAGAAATGCAAACCAAAACCACAATGAGTTAATGCCTTACACCTGTTAAAATTGATATTATCAAAAAGCAAATGATAGCAAATGTTGGTGATGATAGAGAGAAAATGGAACTTTTGTATACTGTTGGTGAATATATAAATTAGTGCAGCAACTATAAAAATAGTATGGAAGTCCTTCAAAAAATAAAAAATAGAGCTATTATGTGATCCAGCAATCCAAGTTCTAGATATATATTCTAAAGAATTGAAGTTTAAAATTTGAAAAGATGTCTACACTCCCATGTTCATGACTGCATTGTCCACAATAGCCTAGACATTGAAGCAACACAAATGTTTATCAGTGGAAAATTGGATCAAAAATGTGAGATTATATATATATGACATATATATCACACAATATATATTTTATTGTGCATGTATGTGTGCATGTCTGCACACACAACGGAATATTATTCAGCTTTTTAAAAATAATACCATTTACAATGACATGAACAAAACTAGAGGGTACTATTCCAAGCCATACACTGAAGAACAAATACTGCATCATAGTACTTATATGATGAATATAAAATAGTTAAACTCATAGAAACTGAGAATGAAATAGTGGTGGCTGAGGGTGGAGGGATGGAGACATAGGAAGGTATTTGTTGAAGAGTATGTGCGAAGTTTCTGTTAGTCAAGAAGAATAAATCCTAGAGATTTACTGCGCAGCATGTTACCTGTAGTTCACAATGTATTATATACTTTAAAATTTGCTAAGAGGGTAGATCTTGTGTTAAATGCTCTTACACACACAAATAAGAAGAAGAAAGTGGGAGGTGATGGACACGTTTGTGAATTGTGACAGTTTCACAAGTGTATACTTATCTATAAATTCATCAAGTTGTATGCATTAAAAAATGTATGATAGAGCAGTCGGCATTAAAGGAATAAATGTATGAATGTAAAAAATCACTATAAACAACACTGGAATCCAGATGACATGCCAGGGAAAAATATTTTCAAGATATATTACAAGTGATAAATATCCATAAAATTTAAAAAGCTCTTAATGATCATATATAAGAAAAACACATCCTCCATGAGAAAAGAATACCACAATATAAAGATGTATTTCTCAGAAGAAGAAACACAAATGGCAGATAAATGTCATGTGGTAATACTATCAAATGCCTATTGAGTGCTTATAATTGTGTCAGGCATATCCAAAGTACATTACAGTGTTAATTATTAGTCCTTACAATGAACTAATGAGTTAACTGAGTGACAATAATATAATTAATGAGTTAGGTAATAATGCAACCAGTATGTTATATTATTATCTTACTTATCTTACAGATGAGAAAACTAAGTCACAGAGAATCTAAGTAACCTGTCCAAAATCAGGCAGTAGTGGTGAAGTTTGCATTCAAACCCAAACAACCTAGCTTATCCAAACTTTTTGGGGAGCAAATCTTAAATTGGTGCCTTTGCTTTGACTCACTCGTGACATCGTGGATGATTGGTTCAAAGATTTAACATCAATTATGTTCATTGCAAAATTGTTTATAATAGAATAAAACAGTTACTTAAATGACTAACAATAGGGGAGCGAGTTAATAAATTACATATATATATATACAGTTGGTATTTAAAAGGACATTTAGAAGACTACTTAACGATGAGAAAATATTTTTAGATATTGTTAAATTAAAAGTATGCAGTAATAGCCCAATATTATAAAATAAAAAAAAATTTTTTAATTAAAGATTATAAAATAAGTAAGATGGTCATTTCTGGTTAGCAAACTTATAGATAACTTTAATTTAATTTGCTTTCTGGATTTTTAAAAAATTCTGTGTTAAAAATAATTCCTTCAGTCAAAAACAAATTATTATCATAAACATAGAGGATTGGAATCAGATTCTTGGTTTTGAAGTTTGATAGATTTGAGCAATTGCATATCCTTGCTGGACCCTGAGTTGCTCTTCTGTAAAATTGGGCTACCACTCACAGGACTATTGTAAGGATTAAATGGAATAATGAATAAAATACCAAGTCCATAAAGTATGATCAAAACATGCAAATTCCAAGTTTCTTTGCTCTTGAGAGGTCTTGGCATAGTACCTAAATTCGTTCAACCAATTTCTAAAATTTTCCATAGTCAGGGAATTAGGATATAAGCCAAGGACTGTTGTGATGTTGAACATACTGAAGTTGCTGGGGATCTGGGCCAGAGTTTATTGAATACAGGCAATCAGTACTTCACAGTACTCTACTAACAGAATTTACACATGGGGGTTTGATTCAAGCCAATGCCAATTTCAAGGCAGTCTACTTTGGAGGGTGCTGGAAGGTAGCATAAGTTTTTAGTAAGCAGGAGTAGTCAGAGAAAAATAGGTAACAGTGACTGCTAGTTGTAGGTAATGAGTTTAACTTGGAGCATGTCTTTTCACTGAGTAGCTTGGGCTATATGTAAATATGATCCAACCTTTCCAGGAGAAGATGCTTGCAAAAGGATTGTCAGAACCTCTGATTACAGAGTTAATCATAAATCAAAAGCAGTTTTAAAGTGACCAAACACATCAGGGTTACAGGTAAGTTCCAGTCAGCCATGTACATTGGGTACTAGCTTCAAATCTCACTGTTGGAAATAGAATTCCTGGCACAGAGTCTGGCATGGCTAAATGCCTCCATTCATGTATTGGGGGCCTGTGACCCACATTCTCTTTATAGATAGATATGTTCTGTTTGGACTAGAGTTTAAACAAACACACAAAAAAATAAAACCACTTTGCTGAGGTATGATTGATATACAAAAAGCTATCATTTTAATACAGCTGGTTAAATTTTTAAATTTGTTTTCAATATTTAAATATTGGGAGATTTCAAGATGAAATTTGGATTTTTGGATTTTTGTGAAATGTTGAAATAACTGGCAACACTAGGGTTACACTTCCATATTGTGAAAACTGGCTACAGCCCAGTAGCTACGGCCCCTTTTAGAAGAGGCACTGGGTCTCAGTTGTCCATACTTCTTTCTTCCCCTAACCAGCCTCACAGTTTCACTCACAGTCATCAGCTGCCTGGCCCCTATAATCTCTACTAGTTCACAATACTGCTTGCTTGTTAGGGGAAGTGAAAGGATTTTAAATTGATATGTACATGGCAGGCTGATAATATAGTACCTTTTGATGTAATTAGAAAATTTCAAAAATTAGAAGATTAAGTGGAGAGACGTAGCTTATAGGCATCGTCTGTCTTACCGCTCTCCCATGCGTGTAGAAGGAACCAAGAAGTGGTAGACAAGAATTCAACTTGAAATTAGGAGCTCATTGAAAATTAGAATTTCTAGTGCAAAAAGAAGCATTCTGCTCTCCCACAATTAGTAATGGTTATCTGAAATTATATTTATTAGAGAAATAACTAATATTTCAAGACTAGCCTTGATGCAACTAGCAGTGTAAGCTTTTACTAAAAATTTGGATTCACTAGACCTCAGTTTTCTAATAAGTAAATAAAGGCATTTGAAATTAAGATTCTCCAAAGTTCCTTTTATCTCTAACATTCTATTATTCCACGCAGAAGCTTCCTATTCTTAATTATGAGCTATTATCTTCTCAACAGTGTCTAAAAGTATCTGACCTCCTACCTCTTACAGGAGGTGATTCTATATTAAACCAGTACAGTGGCTTCCTGATCCGTTTTTCAGTGAAAAGACTAACAACATTACCAAAGCGAGCTCTTTATCTAGGAATCTGAGTCTATAACTTTCAATAAAGAAAACCATGAAATTCGGTAGATATTTTTCAGCATTAGCTTCTGATGTCAAATAGCAATACCTGCTTCAGCGCTTATTTTATATATGCCGTAAATCAAGTTTTCTAACCAGGTAGTTTCTACCCAGAGCATGTTTTGTTGGCATTTTTCCTTTGCACAGAACTCAAAATTTTCTTTTATCATGGCAAGGGCAAGAAAATATGGCTTAGGTTGTTTATTTTTTAGCATAAATGTGCTGACAACTGTAACTTCTGTTTGGTTTCTTTCAAGGTACCATTTTATTATAACACAAAAATATACATTTTAATACTGTCTAGACAAAACCATTGGTCCAAGTCAACACTATAAGTGACGTAAATTGTGTTTTCCAAGGTCTAACATTATGTATGGCTTCCCCAGTAGGCAATATAATAGGATTTAGGCATCAGGCAGTTTTGAGTGTTCAAATCCCAACTCTACCCTTTCCTAGAGATGTAAAATTGTGAACATTACTCAATACCTCTGAGGTTTTTTCCCTGTTATCAGTTGATCTGATGTTAAAATATATTAGCTAATTCCTATGATTATGAGAGTATTAAATGAGAAATGTATTAATGTGCTTAGCTCAGAATTTGTACTGGTTGTTAATAATAACAATACTGCTAATGCTGCTACTAATACAAAATTACACAAGCTTATCACTAAAAATGCATCTTGTTTCCAGAAGTTGTCATTGACAGATGTGCCCAATGTATAAAACAATCTTTTGTACTTCTCTTCAGTACCATAAGGGGCTAAAGAAGGAGATGCATCTGCTTGGCTTTCCTTAGGTAATTCCATGACATATGGCACTGTGCTATTCAAAAACTCTCCACAGGTCATTCTAAATTACAAATTATGCAAATCATATTGTCTTGCATAGTCAATGAGTAGATAGCAAGAACCAAGAAAGTTTATCATTTTCAAAAATATTTTATAATAATATGGATTAGTAACTAATTGATCACTATTGATTCTGAATAAATTTGGAAAGAATAGACAAATGGGGGAGGAACGAGTTGAGACTAGCTTCAGTAAATTAACTTTAGACAGAGAGTATGAGGCAATAATCCTTTGTAAACTGGGCCAATGATCTCCAAAATCTATGCTTCCCTAACTACAAAAGAATTTTGAAAAGTTATATAACTTCCTGCAAATTTATAACTTGACTTGTAAACATTTTCATTGTAAATTTATATCATTCCAAATGCTGTAATATCCAACACGCTGTAATTATTGAATTTTTGTTTGTTTGTTTGTTTGTTTTGAGACAGAGTCTCACTCTGTTGCCCAGACTGGAGTGCAGTGGCACAATCTCAGCTCACTGAACCCTCCGCCTCCCTGGTTCAAGCAATTCTTCTGCCTCAGCCTCCCAAGTAGCTGGGACTACACTCGCAAGCCACCATGCCTGGTTAATTTTTGTATTTCTAGTAGAGACGGGATTTCACCATATTGGCCAGGCTGGTCTCAAACTCCTGACCTCGTGATCTGCCTGCCTTGGCCTCTCAAAATGCTGGGGTTACAGGCGTGAGCCACCACGCCCAGCCTGAAGTTTTTAAAATAAAACTTTATGTTGCTTTTTAAAATAGATTCTATGTCATCAAAATACTTAGCAAAGTCATATCACCCTTCATTTGTTTAAAATTACATAAACTAGCTTTCCTTAATCAAACAGAACTGTCTTCCCCCTCTTTTAGGACTACTATTTCCATTTTATGTCCTAATAAAATGGTATGTCTAAGTAGTATATTTACATTTGAGAATATTGTTCATTATCCAATGGTACTCTGTAGGAAGATTTTTTGTGTTAATTAATCTTAAGTTTTGAAATATCTAGTAGTTATAAGTTTCTGTTATTTTCTTTTGGATTGAGTTTTGTTATAATTATTATTAGTGCAGAATTTATCAAAATAGCATATAATTCAAGCTTTGATGAGAATAACATTGTACATTAAAATATGGAAAGGCATGTATTATTAGTAGTTCATTTGTATATGAATTAATGACTATTATGTTGAGACATACTTTAATATCAAATTTATTCCAATTTTTCTATATACATGTATGAAAACTTGTTCATATAAATAATTGGGAACTAAAGGTGTGTTATAATCACAGTGCACCTCAGTTCTTAAACCTCCTTTTATGTTATGTGTTAAAAATTATACTGTGATCCAGCATCAAAACTCATCTTTAGTAATCCACCACATATCCATCAATTAAGGCTTTCTGCAACTTTTTTCAACAGCAAAGAACTGGAAACAATCTAATTTGCAGAATGATTCGTTACCCAGTCATTAGATTTCTGGAAATAAACTAAAATAATGTTACTAAGAATTGTCAAATGACTACTTAGGTGCTTTATACTGTTTCACTTAGAGATGCCTTTTTAAAATATGATATTTTATAAACTTTTGCAAATTAAAATAATATTCAATTTAAATATATATTTTCCAATAATTTTCTGATAACATGATTCTATCTTAACATGTACTTTAAATACACTTCGGAGTTGCAGACACAACTCAGACAAGGATGTGTGAGTACTCACCAAGCTTTCCTCATTTGCTTCCTCAATTCTTCACCAATAGTTCAAGACTGTTAAATAAAAATTACTCATGCTGCCTACTCTACAGTTTCCCTTAATTTATAGTGAACCAGCATGGGCCGTAATACACACTATCTAATAACACATTGCCACCTTAAACATAAATATGAATAAGATTTCGAAAGACATTAAATGCTATAGTGCCTTAATTAAAAGATATTTGACTGCCACTGATAATTTGAATTATTTCTTCATGTAATACCCAAAGAATTTTATACCCTGGAGTAGTCATAGTAATATATAGAATGAGTGACAGGCATACGTTTCTTTAATACAATGGAAGAAGAGTGATTATGAAAGGGAGTGTGGGATAGAAAAGAAAATACTTCATTATCTGCAGATGCGTGGTGAAAGCACTAGAGTAAATTTAGAAGCTGAAAATTTGTTTTATTAAATGGGTATGAATCACCCATTTTGAAGACTGCTAAAACATATTACAGAATGTAGTTCCTACTGGGTATGGAGAGTCAAGGGCACATCTCTCTTGGACATGCTCTTTGAGAAATATAATCAGACATACCTGTTCTGCCTGGAACTAAGGAGCAGTGGAGATGGCAGCTTCCCTGGGCATTGTAGCTACTTTCTCATCTCCAGAATTGTTACAGGAGGCTGTGGAGGCATATCACAGAATTGCTTAACAAAAGTTTGAAAAGGGCTGGAGTTCTTAAGGAATGAATAGAGTCATAAACAGGGAAATAATATTCTATATTTTTTGTGATTTGTTTTTTAAATCCTTATCCAGTGTAAATATTATTTTCGTATGGGTGTTTATTGAAAAAACAAACCAAACCAAAAAAAAGTGAATTTTTGCTTTAGATTAATTGCAAAAGAAAAAACTGAGAAATAAGATGTCCATAGGGCGCTTTAAAACGTCCTGACATATTACTGGGAATCTAAAAAGCCACATTCACGTGTTGGGCTGTGTTCATGCTCAGGGCTGTGCACATGCTTGAAAAAGACCTGAAAATACCCTAATCTTTAATCTCTGACTGACTCTAAGGCTCTATGCAAGCAGAAAATAAAATCTGATTGCCTGAGGGTTAAGTGCTTGTCTCAACATATATACAGAGCTCTTCAGCAAAGTCAGAGACTTATTGGTCCAAGTTATCTAAGAAAATCTCTACCTAATCATTAGCTGGTGATTGAACTAACTGAGCAAAGATTTCAGTGATCACACATGAAAAAATACAGACTTCACAGAATTAGGTCAGAAGAGTCAATAAGCAAATAACAACACACATAACAAAGAGCAACAAAAACAAACTGTGGGGAGATGAGAGAATCTGATTTCCAGAATTACCACATTTTATTATTTGAAATGTCTAGTTTTCAACAGAAAATTATGAGACACGCAAAGAAATAAGAAAGTATAGTGTATACACAGAAAACAAAGAAATCAACAGAAACTGTTTATGGTGAAATCTAGGTGGACTTCCCAATGACCTTACATCAGCTATTTTAATTATGTTCAAACAACTAAAGAAAGCCATGTCTAAACTAAATAAAAATACGAAAATAATGTCTCACAAAATGCCAAATATTAACAAAAATATAGGAGTTATAAAAAGAGCCAAATAGAAATTCTGAAGTTAAAAACTGCAGTACCTGAAATAAATAATTCACTAGAGGGGCTCAACAGCAGATTTTAGCAGGCTTAAGAATCAGTGGACCTGAGAATAATCAATTGAGATTATCTAGTTTGAGGAATGAAAAGAAAAAAAAAGAATGAAAAGAAGTGAACACAGCCTCATAGACTTATATCACCAAACATACCATCACATGCGTAATGGAAATCCAAAAAGAAGAGGAGAGAGAGAAAGGGGCAGAAAGAATGATTGAAGAAATAATAAAAATCATTAGTGTACACATCCAAGAAGCTCAATGAATTTCCAGTAGGATGAACTTAGAGATCCACTCTGAGATACATGATAAAGAATTTCTTTCAGTGAAAAGTTATATTATAGATTATTATAATTTTTCAAAACAATAGATAAAACTAACTTGTTTTTATATGATGAAGGAGGACCTGAACACATTTACATAAAATTGGCAAACTGGTGTTGATGGTTGTGGTAAAATATCAGTGTCAAGATTTAATCTGAAGAATGATAACAGATATGATTTATTTTATGTTGCCTAATTTCTCCATTTTCTTTTATCCTTCCTGGTTTTTTTTTTTTTTTTCTGTTAAAGTAGAGATTGAAGTGACAAGATGGATCTGAAGGAGGACTGGGAAAAGGTCAACAAAATATCAGCGACTTGTTTATGAAATTCCAGATGGGATTTATTCACCAAGAAATTATAATTCTGATATTGACATTAAATGCAAAAGGTTGGCATTATTTTATCAAGACACACTGTGACATTTACCTTACTTAATAAGTTTGGAAGTACAAGGCCAATCTTGGAGATAATGTTTATGTCCTCTTTGATACTTCTCTTAAATATTATATAACTTTAGATGAATATTTATTCTTTAGGATGGGCTGCTTATTCTCAAAGGTATGGTTTTATTCAGATATGAATAAGTGATGATGCCATGTGGAAAATTAAAGAAACATGTTTGTAATGCCTCTATCTACTTTGTAAACAACATAGACAAAATCTCTACTCTTGTGGAGATTCCATTTTAGTAGGGAAGACAAAAGATAAATATAGTAGAGTAAATAAGATGGAAACAAGTAGGACCAGATACATAATTTGTTATACCAGTAAAAAAATGAAAATGCAGAGACCTTTTTCAAATAATACTGAAAATTTCAAGACAGCAACAGTTGAACAGTAACCAAGTGTGAGGTCCTTTGAAGCGTCGGACTCAATGTGACTGTACAGATTGCAAGCCCACGAAGCCAGGACTGGGGATAAGTGCTATGTGGAAAATAATACAAATTAGGTGGCTTAAGCAAATTAGATAAATTGGCTAAACAAAGACCGTTAAAGGTTAAAGAGTTTGAATTGTTTAAAAATTGGCAAAATAATTGGACATGCTATGTAGACGAATTTCTGTGTGTTTTAGAACTTTAACCATGTTATCTTAAAAAATGCACCTAGCAAGAAATAGTTTAAATACATGCTGTCATTCAACTAATAAGATGGAGTACTTCCGTGGGGGAATAAACTTGACTTTTAAATTCAGCAAGCTTTTCCTGGCCTCTACAAGTTTTCTGACCTTGGCCCAGTTACTTAAACTTCTGAAGCCTCAATATAATAGGGATAATAAAATAGCATTTAAAGTTGCTTTTGAAATGAAATTAAGGTGATAATACAAGGTGCTTAGCAAAATGTCAGGAATATAATAAAAATTCAAAAAATACTTACTAGTAGTAAAAACAACTGTTATCATTGCTGCTAAATTTCTTACAGACTTTATTCTCAGAAACAATTTTACTTTATTTAACCAGTTTTACTAAGATAAAAGTTTCTGTATCTTGACTATTCACAACCATTAATCAAACTCTTCTTAGTTTATAATTTTAAAAGAAAAACACTTTATAAAACATAACTACATTAACAAAAATACTTGATAACAGTCCTTATGTTTGCTTTTGGTTATAGAGAATTACTGATATTGTGAAATTCTCACTCAATTACCAATAATTAACTACATCTTCTCTGAAAAAAGAATTTACTTGTTCACCTGTGGGAAAGTTTCAAACTGTTGTTGAAGCTCTTATCTTTATACTTTATTACTCCATCTTTCCTGTGGATAAAGCAGAAACATGGGAAGTGGGGTGAAGTATATTCTTTCTTTTTTTTCTGTTCATATGTATGTTTGCAAATGGACATTAAAGGTGTGAAATAATGGTGGAAGGAATATAAAGTTGAATCAGGTCAAAATGGGTTAAGACTTTACTGTGCAGAAATTCTAGATGTCATGTTTCTGCTCAAAGAGTTTGGAGGCTCTAACAGCTTGTTTGGTGGGCAGAACATGGATCAAAATGTGGTCTATACTAAACTAAGTTGAAATACCAGAACTGCCCTGGTATACTGTAGAAAAAGAGATCCAAAAGATAGAGAGATTAAGGATTTATCGTGTGATATCTGCTCACTCTGGGAGGGCCCAGTGGACTTATCTTTCATGACAATAGTAAGAAATAAATGTGTGAGAAGAGTTGTAGCATTCTTGAAGAGCTCTGTGGTTGCTCTTCTCTGTAGCTAAGAAATTAGAGTGGAGACTGCTTCTTCTAACCTGGAAACCCAAATACAATATGAGAAATTAAATCCTTAATTACTCCTATTAGAGTAGCACGGACTATGTAGCAGCACTTCATCACCACACACAAGGAAGACATGCTTCCATTAATGGACAACAGACTCTAAGCAGAGATCAGAATTTTCTGATATGCGGAGACCTATGGCATTTCCTAGCTGATCATGGAATCCCTAGAAGTGAAATCGGTGAGTATTCTACTAAATTTTTCTTATGTGATTTGTGTAAGCAGAAGAGCTCTAGGTCAAGTGAACAGAGGCCTAATTTAAATCATAAAAGAGAGTCATAGCCCCTCAGTCCATTCCCAGACTTGAGCCTAGAACTCCTTGAATAAAGGGGAGGCTGAGTCCCCTTCAGGAAAAACCCTGCTTTTCTGCCAAAATTTTACACGGTTAATATTTCTTCTGTCTTCCCCCAAATGGATCTACAGCCTTTTACCAGGGTGACAGTGCAGTGAGGGAAATGAAATAATCATAGTTTTCAGAGATGATTGGAGACCAAGAATATCACTTGTGTTACACTAGTCAGAGTAAGGTCTTATGTATGTCTCTTGATCAAAGGAGTTTTAGCTCAGTCAATCTCATAATGGATCTAATATGTCCTTGAACCTACTCCCAAGTTCCAGAGTAAATAATTGGAACAGACATTCTTAGCATCTGGCAGAGTTCCCACATAGTTTCCCTGACCTTTGGAGTGAGGGATATTATGGTAGAAAAGGCCAAATGGAAGCCAATAGAATCGCCTTTATTTGGAAGAATATTTAGCCAGAGGCAATACTGCATTGCTAGAGGGATTGCAGAAATTAGTGCCATCATCAAGGATCTGAAATATGCACAGGTGGTGATTTCCACCATATTCCCCCTTACCAATTTGGTTTGTGCAGGAGGCAGATAGAGCTTGGAGAATGACCATGAATTATTGTAAACTTAATTGAATTATGACTTAAACTGCAGCTGCTTTTCCAGATGTGGTTTCACTGCTGAAGTAAATTAATACACCCCCTAGTAATCGGTTTGCAGCTACTGATCTGGAAAGTGAATTTAAAAAACATCTCTCAGTAAAGATCACCAGAATCAGTTTGTTATCACCTGGCAAGACCAAAAACACACCTTCATTGTCCTAACTTACAGATAAATTAACTTTTTCGTATGTCATAGTGTAGTCTGCACAAACCTCGGTTATCTTTCCTTTTCACATGACATCATAATTATTCATTACATTGTTATGTTAATTGGACAGTAGAAACTACTGTAGTATATTTATAAGACATTTGCATGTCAGAAGATAAAATATAAACAAATATTCTGAGGTCTCCCATCTCAGTGCAATGCCTAGAAAGTACAATTGTGTAGAGCATGATGAGATATCTCATCTAACATACAACTTATCATGTCAAATGGACCTTTCTGGATTTCAGAGGCAACAGATTCCTCTTTTGGGTGCACTACTCTGGCCTACTTACAAAATGTCCTAAAAAACTGTTAGTTTTGAGTGTGCCCCAGACCAAGAGAAGGCTCTGCAACATCTCCAGACTGCTATACAAACTGCTGGGCCGCTTGAGCCAAAGTGGCCTCTTTGGCCACTTGACCCAAAGGATCCAATAGATCTTATCGTTCTTGAAGTGTCAGTGGTTTATAGAGGTGCTTTATGAAGCTTTTGGTAGGCTCTGTAGTGTACTTTGCAGATATTGCATTTTTTGCAAATTGATGATTTGTGGCAACCTAGAGCTGAACAAGTCTAATGGCACCATGTACTCATTTCATGTCTCTGTGTCACATTTTGGTAATTCTCACACCATTTCACACTTCTCATTAATATTATATTCTCATGGCGACTTGTGGTTAGTGATCTTTCATGTCACTACTGTAAATGTTTTGGGGTATTGTGAACCACAACCATATAGGATGGGGAAATTAATTGATAAATATTGTATGTGTTTAAACTGATCTATCAACTGGTCATTTTCCATGTCTCTCCCTATCTTGTGGTCTCCCTATTTTCTGAGACACAACAATATTGAAATTAGATCAATAACCTTATAATGGCTTCTAAGTGTTCAAGGGAAAAGGAGAGTAGCACATCTCTCACCTTAAACCAAAAGCTAGAAATGATCAAGTTTCAGGTATTATTATTTACATAATACATTTCATAAGGCTATAGTTGCCATAGATAGATTCTTTTGATGAATGTGGGCAAGGTGGGTGAAAGCTTCCTGGAAAGAAAGGATTCACCATTCTTGATGCTACCAAGAACATTTCTGACTCATGAGAAGAGGTTAAAATATCAATATTAACAGGACTTTGGAAGAAGTTGATTCCAATCCTCATGGATGACTTTGAAGGGTTCAAAACTTTAGTGGAAGAAGCAACTGCAGATGTAGAAATAAAAAGGTAAATAGAATTAGAAGTGGAGCCTGAAGATGTGACTGAACTTCTGCAATCTCATAATAAAACTTGAATAGATAAGAAGTTGCTTTTTATGGATGAGCAAAGAAAGCGGTTTCTTGAGATGGAATATATGCCTGGTAAAGATGCTTTGAACATTGTTGAAATGACAACCAAGTATTTAGAATATTACACAACCTTGGCTAAAAAAGCAGTGGCAGGGCTTCAGAGATTTGACTCCAATTTTGGAGAAAGTTCTATTATGGATAAAATGTAATCAACAGCATCAAATGCTACATAGAAATCTTTCACGAAAGAGTCAATTGATCCACTGAACTCTATTGTCTTAATTTAATAAATTGCAATAGCCATCCCACCCTTCAGCAATCACTCCCCTCATCAGTTAGCAGACATCAACATTGAGGCAACACCTTTCACCTGTAAAGGATTATGAGTTGCTGAAGGCTCAGATTATTGTTACAATTTTTGGGGTGAATAATGCTTTCTTAAGATACGCACAATTTTTAGACATGGTATCATTTTACACTCAATAGGCTACCATATAGTGTAACATAACTTTTATATGCATTGGGAAACAAAAAAAAATATGTGTGACTTGCTTTACTGTGAATTTGCTTTGTTACAGAGGTTGGAACAGAAACATTAATATCTCTGAATTATTCCTGTATATGAGAAAGTGGCTCAAATGTTCATGGATCCTATTTATGGCACATTTATTTTTTCCCAGCCCAGTTGTCTGGCTTCATGGGGAGTTATTTACTATCAATTGACTGAGGAAAAAAGAAACACCTTACATACGGTTCTACACAACATGTGGGCACTGTCTGAAAGTGGACAGCTATAGCACTACAGGCTCTTTTTGGAGCAATGGTGGAGTGAAATTCTCCCAGTAAGCAAAACTTGAACAGTGCACTTTGTTGTTCATTTCACATGGAAGGAGAAATACACAGAAGTACAAATACATTCTGATTTGTGAGCTGTGGCCAATGATTTGGCTGGATGGCAAGGGACTTAGAAGCAATGTGATGAAAAAAAAATGGTGACAAAGAGGTCTGTGGAAGAGGATGTGGATAGACCTCTCTGAATGGGCAAAGAATATGAAGACATTTGAGTCCCATGTGAATGCTTACTAAAGTGTAATCTCTGCAGAGGAAGATTTTAATAATCAAGAGGATAAGATGACCCATTGGGTTCGTGAACAATGTAGCCATGGGTTGGCAGGATATATGAGATGCAGGGATGGAGGTCATGCATGGGCTCAGCAACATAGACTTCCACCCACCAAGGCTGATCTGGCTAGAGACACTGCTGAGTGCCCAATCTGCCAGATGCAGAGATCAGTACTGAGCTCCTGATAATGCACCATCCTCTGGTGTGATTAACCAGCCAGCTGGGAGCAGGTGGATTACATTGGATGACTTCCATCATGAAAGGAGAAATACTTGGTTCTTATTGGCATAGACACTCTGGATATGGATTTGCTTTCTCTGCATGCAATGCCTCTGCCAAAACTACCATCTGTACATTTATTGGATGCCTTATCTACCGTCATGGTATTCCACACAGCATTGCTTTTGATCACAAAACTAACTACACAGCGAATGAAGCATGGCAATGGGCTGTGCTAGTGGAATTCACTGTCCTTACCATGTTCCCCATTATCCTGAAGAAACTGCCGATAAAATTTTGGAATGGCCTTATGAAGACTCAATTTTAATGCTAGCTTTATGTCAATACTTACTTGACTGGGACAACGTGCTCCAGAAAGCTGTGTGTGGTCTAAATCAGAGTCTAATATATGATGCTTTTTCTCCTATAGCCAAGATACAAAAGATCAGGAATGAAGAGGTGGAATAGGAGTAGCGCCACTCACTATTACACTTATTGATACACTAGTAAATTTTTTATTTTTCCCGCATGATCTTATGCTCTGGTGGTCTAGAGGTCTTACTACTAAAGGAAAGAATGCCTCTCCCAGGAGACACAACAATAATTTTATTGAACTGGAAATTAAGAATGCTACCTTGCTTCTTCGGGCTCCTCATGTCTCTGAATCTATAGATAAAGAAGGGAGTTACTCTGCTTGTTGAGATAATTGATCCTGACTACCAAGGAGAAGTTGTGCTGCTAATACACAATAATGGTAAGGAAGAGTATGTCTGGTATACAGGAAATCACTTAGGGTGTCTTTGACTACTACTGTGTCCTATGATTAAAGTCAATAAAACATTACCACAGTCTTTTTCAGACAGGCCTGCTAAATGGCCCAGACCCTCAAAAAATAAAGAGTTGGGTCACCCAATAGGCAAAGAAACACAGCCAGCTGAGGTACTTGCTGAGGGCAAAGATAATATAGACCTGGTAGTGGAAGAACCTAGTTATAAGTATAAGCTATAAACATTTGACCCATTGTAGAAATAAGAACTATAATGTTATGAGTATTTCTTATTTATTTTGTTATAAATATGTTTGCTTGTGTATGTGTGTCTGTGTCTGTTTGTGTGTGTGTGGGGGGGGTGCATATGGCATATGGGGTAACCAAATTTTATTCACTCTATATGTTCTTATTAATTCTTCCTACTGAGTAATTCTACTTTTCATGGCAGAGTGTCTTTTCTGCTCTGTTAGTTTTAAAAAGCAAATGACAAGCTTTTTTTTTTTTTATCTTGCTTTGGGGAAAGAGTAAACATTTTAAAAATCACCATATAGTATTTAGGAAAAATGTTACTGGTTTTCTTTTACCTCAACCACTGCTTCCTCTCTGTATGTGTACTTGCATCTATCAGCTCATAGACTTCAAAGAACTTGCTGAGACTTAAGCCTTTTGGGGGCAATTACTTTTGGATTTTTAAAATCATGGTTGAAAAATAGGCAAAAGGCTCACATATCCTTCAACCATTCTTTAAAAAATGACGGAGGGATAGGCAAAATATTCTCTTGAGAATTCTAGATATTCACAATTTAGGGGATGATATTCAAACTTCACAAATCTTGACAGAAGGGGCTTTAACATCCCATCAGGGAGACTGTCCATCTTAAGCTGAGTCTCTAGGGGCTGTGACCACAGTCAGAAGACCAGACCAAGGACAGGGATGAATATTGTTGCCTTTTGTATCCAACAGGACAGGCAGGGTTCCCTTCTACAAGGAGGACTATCAAAATTAGCTGAGACTCCCTCAAGAGCAGGTGGTGATGAAGGACAAAGAAGCAAGCTGCCATGAGTGCTGTTCTCTATTTACGTAGTCCAGAAAACCCCTGCCATCATGCTCTGTTGATGTCATTTTGCTTTTATTTTTTGAATGGAATTCAGCTAATGAGTCAGAGTGGATAATTCCTTAACAATAACTACTATGCGAAGTTACAACTGACCTGTGGGGCTGCTCCTGATATGTCAGCAATGTTTCTTCAAAAAGAGGTCTTCTTTCCATTTTCTCCCTCGATTTAGATGAATCACCAAGCACTGAGAATGTCAGGGCTTGCAGGGTTAAAATGATCATGCTTTTAGATTATCGCCAGACAAAACCACCTGGGTTCAACTTGTGAACACAGGTTCACAATTGCATACTTGTTTGAATGTCAGTCTTCGAAGAGAGCTTTTGTAATTCAGGGCATACGAAAATGTGTTTTAGTAATTCAGTAGAAAAATGTTGGGCTCCCTAATGATTGGAGAAACTAATGTGATACGCTCCAGGTGAAAATCCTCAGACTAAGTACATAAATATTAAGAGCCTGCTTCTGTGACTCACTTTCCAAGTCTAGTCTTTTCTAGTGCTCCAAAATGTAACATATTTTACTAGTCCAACAATACTTCAACATTTGTTATTACATTTTGAAAGGATAGCCATAGGTAAGACTGTTCTCTATGTGGTTCAGAAAACCTCCACCATCATGCTTTGTTGGTGTGATTTTTCTTTTATTTTTTGAATGGAATTAAGTTAGTAAGTCAGAGTGGATTAATGTTAATGAGCAAGAGTCTTTTCCTTAATGTATTTTTTATGTATGGTTTTTCCTAATGGTAACATGAGCTATTTTCTCTATAAGCTTGTACTGTTTCCAAAGAATATGACCTTAAGACCTAAGGAAAACCCAAATAAAAATATTTTATCTTTGCACCTTGCCATTCTTTATTTCCTTAGGAAAATACAAATACATACAGAAGCCAAGAACTTTTATTCAACACACACTGTATGCAATTCCTGTGTTATTCTAAGTCCAAGCAGAGAGGCAGACAGTGTAAGCGGGCCCCTGTGTCTTTAACATTTGAATTCCCAGGAAATAATTTAAACTGCTGCTTGCTGCATGAATATAACTTGTTTCCATGCAAATGTAAGTCTATAAACCTTCCCTTAGGATCTAACGAGCAATCTTTATTTGCAAGTATTCACTGAGTAACTACTCTGACACATGCCAGCTAGGCACTAATGACAGTAAGAATTGTTTCTGCACTCAGACAAATGAATTCAGAGAACAAATCTAAATTTCTCTGCTTGTGATCTCGTTATTCTATTGCATCTTTCTCCATTTTTCGTCTCCTATATCTTCAATTATAACATTGAAATAATGTGTTTCACCAAGTCCCTGATTATTAAGGAATATTCAGGATCTGTGGTAAACACCCTTGTATGAGCTTCATAAGGAAAGGTGCTATATAAATAAGCACTTGGAATGGTCCCCGGCATATAATAAGCCTACTATCAATGTTCTCTAGTTTGTCTTGAGTCTCTCAGTTACTTAGTTGTAAGCTGTTTACTGTTCTAATGAGAAGGACTAGTTATAGAAACAGACTTTTTTGTACACAATAAATCTGTACAATTTTTATTTGTCAATTAACAAAATAACATGTGAAAGTATGTCAATAAATCTATCCTAATAGTCATCCTCATGCCTACTGAGTGTAAAAGAGAACAGTGGTACATATATAAGAAGAAACAGATTATGAAGGGAAAATATTCTCAGAAGAGTGAGCTTACTGTGGTCTTTTGCATAAAATTACCAATGGTAATTTCTGTGAATGAATTGCCTACATTTACTCTGTATACTCAACAATATGCAAGTATTTATTTTTATTTAATTCTAATTTAATTAGTAACATTAGATTTCTTGCACATCATCTATGCTCTTTTTTTAAAACATTAAATACTTCATCCACCTAGCAACAACCTTGTAAAAACCTTGCTAAGTAGGTTTAGTATTTTCATTTTCTATCTGAGGAAACCAGACTCAAAAAAACTCTGGTGTGAGATGGCATAGCCTTTAGTGCAGCCAACTTAGTCATTCTTGCTACTACACTGTGCCAAGTGATTGGGATCAAAAATTAATTTTGATTTTTAGCATTACTTTTTAGTGAACATTTTAGCACAGTTTTGAAGATAACATTTTTAAAATTTCATATTCCATATAAAGTTTCCATATAAATTTTCAATTAATTGCCATGAATGGCTAACTCAGAATAAAAGGCTTAATAAATGTCTTTTTTTTAATTCATGGTGTAGTTGGGGGTTCTATATGCCCAGTATGTTAACCTGTTTGCACCCTACATTGTGTATGCTAGCTATGCTTTAAGAATACACATCATCCTCCACCTTCCAATAGGCTTCATTTAGTATTATTCCTGTCTATGTTGGAGGAAGGAGACGATCAGGAAAAATGACTAATGGGTACTGGGTTTACTATCCTGTTGATGAAATAATCTGCATAGCAAACCCCCATGACACAAGTTTACCCATGCAACAAACCTGCACATGTACCCCTGAACTTAAAATAAAAGTTTTTTTAAAAAATGGAAGAAAAATACACACCATAGGCTTAAATATATGCCCTGGAAGAAGTGGGAGAGTAAAAAATGAAGTAATGCTAAACAGAAGCCATAAAAAAATTTTCTTTCTGGAATAGAAGATGTATATAACCCATCTTAGTCATTTCTTTCAAGGACCTGCCTCAAAAGTGAATTCATCATCAATGAGAAGACCCTAAAATGGTAAACTTGTAAAGAGTCAAGATTTTGCATCTAAACATAAAGCAGAAAAACATGTAGAAACGAGCTTATAAAGTGACACGAAAAATGTTATTCGAGTAGGTACAAGTACTTTTCTACCTTTCTTTTAATTACTTTTGAGAGAATTGGAGGTGGTATTTTATTGAAAATACTCCAAACAGAAATGGTGTTGATTGATTTTATCATTTTCTTATAATTAAAGTTTTTCATTCCCTGATGCTAAGAATGGTTGTGAAATTTTGGCTATATAGTATGGTCTGTTTTCTAGATGAAAACACTGTGAAGACTTATGAAATAAAGAAAGAGACCACAGAGCATCTCAGGCCATTTGTGGCAAGTGCTTCCCCAACCACAGTTGTTATACAACACTACAACTCTGTGTGCACTTGTTAGATCTCTGAGCATGTAGCTATTTCCTGCCTCTTCTCTATACTTTCATCTATGTTGATGAGGAATGCTTGATATAAAAAATTCAACTCAATTAAATTAAAACCCATACAATCAAACTTCACCAACATTTATTAATGGTATACAACATTGTCATGGTTGTGTATCAAGCCTTTGGCAAAGGACACATCAAAAGCACAGAAGTAATATAAATTATGGTGAGAATGCAGAGTTTACAACAAAATTGTAAAGTTTAATCTCTAGGAAGGAACAGGATTTTTGCAAAACATGGGGACTTATCATTTGATGGGTTATTTTTTTTAATTGGTGGTCATTAGCTTCCAAACTAAAACAACCTAATTTTAAGAGGCTTTATTCTTTGAGTCTCAGCAAGCAACATGGCTATACCTTTAAAACAAAGAGTACATTTGTTTTGGCTCAAGTGTACTTAATTAGCTAATAGAAATCACAGGCGATGTTGTTACTAAATAGGGAAACTGAAAGACTTGAGGTGTTGAATCTCAGCTGCAGCTCCCCAAGCAGACATAATTTGAAATAAGTTGACTCCAATTTACAATCAATCAACAAAAACACATTGAATGCTTAATTATGTGATTAGACCAAATTGTCTGAACAGTATCTTTCTGACCGTATTAGGCCACAGTAACTTTTGGGCTTGTAGGAGGTCCACGTGTAACATATAAAACAAGTAGCTAAAAAATACTTAGCAGGTCCTCAACTAATGCCATTTTTGCTATAATGTGGATGACAAATAAAAAGGTTTCTGGCTGGGGCCACTGTCTGTGGAATTAGTACCTTCTTCTCATGTCTGCGTGGGCTTTCTCTGGGTATGTTGGTTTCCTCCCACATCCCCAAAATGAGCACATTAGGTTAACTGGTGTGTCTAAATGGCCCCAATCTGAGTGAGTATAGGTGTGTGGGTGAGGGCGCCCTGCAACGGAGTGGCATTCTGTCCAGGGCTAGTTCCCACCTTGCACCTGAGCTGCCGGGATAGGCTTCAGCTACCCATGATTCTAAACTGGAATAATTGGTAAATAATTATCTTACTTGTGTTTATCAATCTTTCTTAAAGGTATGGATAGCTTACATTTATTTCATTGTTTAATATTAGAAGCGTTTCGGGTCTTTATTTAGAAATGTGGTGATGATTTTGTGACCAGAAATATGCTGTAGGAACTTTAACTCTTGATTATATGGATTAGCCTATGGTAAAATTGATTTTGTTTCCCTTTAAGGTTTTTTTAGATATATATTTCACATATAAGTGAGATTTTGCAATAGTTTTTCTTTGTGTGGCTTATTTCACTTATCATAACATCCTCCAGGTCTATCCATGTTGTGGCAAATGGTAAGATCACCTTCCTTCATAAGGCTGAATGATATTCCACTGCGTGTGTGTGTGTGTGTGTGCATGCTCAAGTATGTGTATGTGTGTATACATTTTTTAAAATTCATTTTTCTGTTGATGGACACTTAGGTTCTTTTCATATTTTAGCTATTGTGAATAATGTTGCAATGAATATTAGAATGTAGCTATCTTTAAAGGTGGTGATTTCATATCCTTTGAGTATATACCCAGGAGAGAGGGATCGCTGGGTCATACCGTAGTTCTATTTCAGATTTCTTTAGGAAACTTCATTGTGTTTTTTTTTTTATAATGGTTCTTCCAATCTACATTCCCACCAACAGTGCTCTAGAGTTCCCTTTTCTCCATACTTTCACCAACATTGTTATGTCTTGTCCTTGTTCTTTCTTTCTTTTTTCTTTTTTTTTTTTTTTTCGAGACAGGATTCCACTCGCATTGCCCAGGCTGGAGTGCAGTGATGCGATCTCAGCTCACTGTAACCTCCGACTCCTGTGCTCGAGTGATCCTCCCACCTCAGCCTCCAGAGTAGCTGTAGTTCCAGAGTAGTTCCAGCTACTCTGGACTACCAGTTCCAGTAGTCCAGCTGTAGTTCCAGCTACTCTGGAGGCTGAGGTGGGAGGATCACTTGAGCACAGGAGTCGGACGTTACAGTGAGCTGCCCAGCTACTTTTTACATTTTTTGTAGAGATGGGGTTTTCCCATGTTACCTAGGCTGGTCTCAAAGTCCTCAGCTCAAGTGATCCACCTGCCTTGGCTTCCCAAAGTGCTGGGATTACAGGCATGAGCCACTGCTCCCGGCCTTGTTGTTTCTCTAAGAGCAATCTATGGGTGTGAGGTGATATCTCATAGTGGTTTTGATTTTTAATTCCTTTCTGATTAGTGATATTAAGCACTTTTTCATATATCTGATGGGCATTTATATCCTCTTTGGAGAAATGTCTATTCAAGTCATTTCCTCAATTTACAGTTGGGTTATTTGTTTTTCAGCTATTGAGTTGTAAGGGGTCTTTATAAATTTGGGGATATTAACACTTTATCAGGTATGTGGTATGAATTATACTTTCCCATGTGTTGGTTGCCTTTTCATCTTGCTGATTGTTCACTTTGCTGTGCTGAAGCTTTTTAGTTACATGGAGTCTCATTTATTTGTTTTAATTTTGTAGCCTGAGATTTTGATGTGATATCCAAAAGAATTATTGCCAAGGGAGTGTCCAGGAGCTTTTCTCCTATGTTTTCAACTTCAGGAGTTTTACAATTTCAGTTCTTACATATAGCTATATTATCCACTTTGAGTTAATTTTCATGTATGATGTAAGATAAGGGTCTAACTTCATTCCTTTACATGTGGAAATCCAGTTTTTCCAACACCATTTATTGAAGAGTCTCTTTGCTTCCCCATTATATCCTCTTAGTGCCTTTGTTGAAAATTATTTGGCATATAAGTGTCAACTAATTGACACATCCTTTTGGATTTATTTCTGAGATCTCTATTTTGTTCCGTTGGTCTGTGTGATTTGTATGCCTGTAACGTACTGTTTTGATTACTATAGCTTTGTAATAAAAGTTTAAATCAGGAGGTATGATACCTACAGCTTTGTTTTTCTTTCTCAATATTGCCTTGGCTATTCAGGGCTTTCTGTGGTTTCATATAAATTTTTGAAAATTTTTTTCTATTTCTGTGAAGAATTCCATTGGAATTTTGATAAGGATTGTGTTAAATCTGTATATTGCTTTGGGCAGTATAACATTTTAACAGTATGGATTCTTCCCATTGATGAACACAGAATATTTTCAGTTTATCTGTGTCTTTAATTTCTTTCAAAAATATTTCATAGATTTCAGTGTACAAATCTTTCATCTCCTTGGTTAAATGTATTCCTAGGTATTTGTTTTATTCTATCATATATGTGATTATTTTCTTTCCTTTTCTTTGGCTGGATTGTTATCTGTGTATAGAAATGCTTTCTTCAAAGGCTCCATGGGGAGATTCTGTTTTTTGCTTCTAGTTTCTGGTAGCTCCAGGCCTCCTTGACTTTTGGCAGCATTGCTTCAATCTCTGCCTCTATGGTCACAGTGCCTTTTTCTCTGATTTCTGTCAGATCTCCCCTGTGTGTTTCTTATAAGGAACCCTGTCATTGGATTGAAGGCCCACTGGATAATCCAGAACAATCTCTCAAAATTCTTAA
The DNA here is from genome assembly GCF_000001405.40 of Homo sapiens. Lineage (NCBI taxonomy): Eukaryota > Metazoa > Chordata > Mammalia > Primates > Hominidae > Homo > Homo sapiens. The sequence goes on along the minus strand of NC_000003.12, from coordinate 110,385,589 downwards.
TTTAATTGTATGTATAAAGACCTTTTTTTCCCCAAATAATGTAACATTTATAGGTTCTAGGAGCTAGGATATAGGCAAAAATTTTTGAGAGGCAGGACAGATTTTGTTTGGTTATTTTAAAATATCATGCTAAAAACATGTATTAGTATTCGAATGTTTGTCAAACTGTTCAAAATAGGTTAGTACGTAATTCTAAGTATATGCTACTGATGTAAGTATTTATATCCTCCCACTCTTACCTTTGAAAATTATCTAATGTTCTTATGCTGCTAAAATATGCATAACATGAAACTTACCCTTTAAGTGTACAGTTTAATGGCATTAAATATATTCACATTGTTGTGCAGCCCTATAGGGTTTTAGTGGGTACTGTGTTCTGTTATTTCCTTCTCTTCCAACTTTGCTACATAAAAATATCTAGAATTAATATTATTATCAAATTAATGTTATTCATATATTGAGATGGTAATACAATTTTTTTTTATATCCTGTTAAATCAATGTCTTTTTGATGTTAAATCTAGGGCATATCTAGAGAGAAAATATCATCATATCCCAATATCTTCATGGGAAAATTTAGGCCACATGCAAATGCACAGAGTCGTGAAGTAGAGCAAAAATTTGGACCAAAAATGTAGCCTAAAAGGAGGAGCAAATTTTAGCAACACATATGAAAATAAAAAAGAAAACAAACTAACCATGATCCTAAGTTATTTGGAAATGCTTGTTTAAACATACTGTTTTTGTATAAAATGAGTGAGTCAGTCCGTGGACGTCACTTCTAAGTTTTGCAATTTTTAAAACCAATCTGTAATCACCAGGACACATTCCATGAATACTTTATTGTCAAGACACATTGACAGACTTAAGAAAAACATCCTTTTGCTTATTTTTATAATTATTTATTCCTTCACATACCTGTTCCTCCCACTATCCCATGATATTTATGTGGAAACTAAGATACTTTCATAATGCTGGTTCTTCTATCATGGTTGACACTTTGAGTCTTCCTCATACTATTAATCTCAAAGTATGTACAATGAGGATACTGAACCATCTTAGCAGGTGAAAGTCAAATTGGTTATTGTTCAACATATAAAGGCAAATCAAATTTTCTTTTAGTTAACTTTTGACTAAAATGCACAACTATAATTTATTTCAAAAGAGAGAACCATTCAAGTATAAACCTGACCCTATTATTACACTCTCAGCAGGAACAGAGAAAATCTCTTTTGAGGGTCTTAGCTGGCCACTGGTTGCCATGCAAACTTGACTCATTCATTACAAATTCACAGAAAATTTCAAATACTAATTGGAGCTTCCACAAATGTTTGAGAAAGAAATAAGTAAACCTACTAGTGAATGCAGACAAGAAGCCAAATTTGTCTTTCTTTGCTTATGAAAGGTTAAATTGATAGACCACCATTTTACTTAAACATAAAATTAATTTTGAGCTGGGCAAGTGGATGCCTGCAGCTAATTTACAGTCAAATCACATCCACTTGGAATAGTAGGGTTAAATGAAAACATGTTAATAGGCTATTTACCTGTTAGGCCTTGGTAAGTGCAGGGATAACAAATGTAATTCATTTTGTTAACATGATGAAGTTACCATAATTAAGCAGTTGGTAAAGAAACAAATCTGTTATGAGTTTACGTTTCCAGCCTTTCAGTGAAATCTGATGTTCCAGTAAATGGATATCACAGGGTTCGGCCACCAGGTATACTAAAGGACTCAGCCAGAAAAGTCACTACTCTAATGCTGATCAGATCTTTTCAACCAGCAGATTTTTGTCCATTCCTGGCAACTCTCTCAGTTTGCTGCTTCATGAAGTTCTTAGGGATATTTTCCAGTTTACATCAGAGCTAGGGGTGAGTTGGAGTGTTTTTGTCCTATTTCAAACCAAAATATACATTTTAACTCTTTTTTGTCTTTTCAAAAATGCAGCAAGTCATTAATGGGAGCCTATGTTAAAGGAATTAAGTAAGATGCCCAAGAAAGGAGTGAGCAGCCCTGAACCAATTTAACTGGATTCTAGATTTCCAAATTGATGAATCACATTCTGAAATCTGCTTCAGTTAAAGAGATTGAACCAGCCAAAACTTATTTCTTCTTCTATTGTGATATAGTCCAACCAAAAAAGATTCAGAGAAAAATAGAGTGTGGTTGTTCCTCAGTCATTACTGTTGTGCTGAATTCAAAGTACAGCAAAGATAAAGGATTGCTTTATAAAAGTGAGGCTGATAGGGCACTAGAATTCTGTTTTGCTTTAATGTGCTTTTGATATATTCACTTCTTTTCTTTAAAAGAATAACTTTTTAAAAAGGATTTTATTTCTTTTAAAAGAATGCCATGTTCCTAAGAACAAAGAATGTGTCCATCTAGAGAGATAATCAATGTTGACTTAATATTGATATGAGTATATACAGTATATATTAATTATAAGATTATATAAAGTAAAACCACATTTCTGTTATATACAGCTTTTTTTCCACTCAATAATACATTGTAAAATTTTTTCCACATCATTCATGTTATTTGGACTGTCCATAGAAATAGCTGATTCAATATCCTGAGTAACATAATTACTCCAGTTAGTAAACTACATCTTAATATTGCTTTGCAAAAACCTGTGCAACCCATCACTTATTAGTGGTTTGTAGAATTATTTTTCTCACATTATTAATGCTGCAATGATTGTAACTGTAGCAAAATCTTTGTGCATATCCGTAATTACTTTCTTGAACTATTTCTGGGAGTACAATTGTTGAGCTGATGTGTTTGTATTAAAGCTTTGATACACAATGCATATTGTCTTCTGCAGGTAACTAATTCCTGTGTCCACAATATAGTTTGAAAAATGAGGTTGAGATGGTTAATTGTCCATTAGAATTCTCCGTACTTTTTTTGTTTGTTTTGGTTTGGTTTGGGGGTTTTTGTTTTGTTTTATTTGTTTGGGTCTTCAGGTCCAAAGGCCTAGTGATCCCTTGTACCTGAAATGGCTTTATTGTCCTTATATGTCACTGCCACAATTTCCCTCATTACTATTATATGCATTTTATGATTTGACTTTGCAATTACTCCCATAAAAAGGAGGAGTCAATTTCTCCTCCTTTTAATATGTGCTGGCCCTGTAACTTGCTTTACCAACAGAATAATAGAGTAATATGATATGCTTCCTAAGTCCAGGACTCAAGAGGCTGTCTAGCTTCTCTCTTGTCCTCTTAGAAATCAGATGCTATATTAAAAAAGTCCATAGTAGCCTGCTGGAGATAGAATGTGGATGGTATTGACATACCCTGGCTGACAGTGTCAGCCAGTTGCCAGCAATGAAAGTCATCCAGGACCAACCAGATGACCTGCCAAATGACCCACAACAGCATGAATGAGTCCAGCTGACACCGTATAAGGAGCAGAGATGAGCCATGCCCTCTGAGCACTTCCTGTGTTGCCAATCACTGGTATCCTGAGCAAGTGAATGATTGTTGTTTTATATCACTAAGTTTTAGGGTAGTAAAACACTCAGAAATAAATAAAAATAGTAATTAATGCAGTTGATACATTTTAAAATTCATTTACAGCTCCATCTTTTTCTTATGCCTCTTTCCAAACAAATCAGTTGAGATAAGAGTATTAATTTATTTTAATGGAGGTGTTTCACTGTTGCTGAGAAAAAAGAATCCTGGCTTGCTGAATACTGTCACCACCAATTAAATATACTGCTACTGCAGAGTAGCCCACTTCCTTGTATCATAAATTGGCAAAGTTTGACTTAAGTTTATGATAGATAGGACTTTGCATGAGTGGCACTCTATGAAAGGCAGATTTATTAGTCAAAATGTACCTCTTAATAAATGAGAGTATATATACACCAGTGATAAAACATTTATCTTGTGGATAGATGAAGTATGATGTTTGATGCACATACTTTTAAAAGTTTAGTTGAGTTTATCTAAAGATAATTGAAGCTTGCTTTTATCTGCTGACTGAGTACACTTTTTATTTCACATGACCTAGTGTTCCTTGGACTTAAATGGTTTTAGTGTGGCTTTGGATGCATTGATATTTTCACAGGATGATTTATGATACTTACCAAGATATTCATTTGTAAAATCAAAATTTAAATTAGAGTCAATTTGGCAGCTTTCCAACTCGAAACCTACTACATAGGTTATTAAGAATAGAAAATCATTAAACAAAAATAGCATCTGGTGGTCCGTACTGTATCTGTAAGATTAGTAGAAAAAATTTTCCCTAAAACAAATAAACAGATTTGCAAAACAATCTATCAGGCAACTCTGTTTATAGAAATAAAAATGACTTAAATCAATGCTCTTCAGTATTATAGCTCCTTAAAACAACATAGTAATATTTACCTGCATACATTTTCTTGATCATCTCTATGGAGCTGTGGAAGGTAATAAGCCAAGGGACTATGTACGAATTAAATGGAATAAGGCTCAGAAACTATTAATTTAAATAAACCTTGTATTTCATTTGCATTTGTAAGTTTTCTACTGTTTGGAAAAAAATGTAAAAAAAACCTCATAACTTTCCAAGCCAATTGTGTTTGAGGACAGTTTTTCGAAGGAAATATCTGTAGTCCAGTTTTCTCATTTATTCCCAAATTAAGAAGGCTAGATTCTGTGTAAACCATGCTTTAAACTGGTCATCAAAAATAACTAATAATCTAAGTGACAGAGCAGAACAACTCTATTTCATATTAAATTTCTATTCTTTTATGACATATTCATGATTCTCCCCTTTTTTTACATAAATTCAAATGTATATATTAGTTATAAAAGTAACACAAATAATTATAGTACATACAACCTTACCCAGATTCCCTATATTGTTAATATTTTCCCCCATTTTTGTTTTTTTATTTAATATGGAGATATAGCATATATATGTATTTATATACTGTATGTATGTATTATATATGCATATAAAGTCATACATTGCTTAATGACAGATACTTTCTGAGAAATTTGTACTTTGGCGGTTTTGTTGTGCAAACATTATAGAGTGTACTTACAAAAACCAAGTTGGTATAACCTACTACACACCTAGTCTATATGGTGTAGCCTATTGCTCCTATGCTACAGATCTGTATAGAATGTTACTGTACATTCTGCAGTAAGCAATTATACCACGATGATAAAGTATTTGTGTACCTAAACATATCTAAACATAGAAAACATACACTAAAAATATAGATTTATAAGCTTATGGGACCACCATCATATATGCAGTCCATAGTTGTCTAAAATATCATTCTGCAGTGCACCACTGTATAGATATAATACTTTATTGAACTAGTTTAAAGTAAGCTTCAGGTACAGTATGATACCTTTTCCCATAAATACTTTAATGTTTATTTCCTAAAGCAGGGCAATCTTTTGTATAATTACAATAATTCTTTAAATTAGGAAATTAATCTCTGTGATATATATTCTTACTTTTTTTCTAGTAGTATACCTCCTCTTTTAGAAATACTTGTCTGCTGCCCATTTTAAATTAGCTCCCCCTGCTATGTGTTCACAATGCACCTTTTTTTAGCCCTGCAGGACACTCATCATTTTCTAATCTAACCATCATCTTGATATCTATCTCTTTAATGCACTACAAGCTTAGGAGTGACTAGTATAATATTTACTTTATTTCCTCCCTAAGGTAGCACAATTCTTGGCACTTAAACTTTTCATAAATCTTTTTAGATAAATGTGTTCCTTTGAATTGTAGTTGAGGCATTCCAATGTTTGCCTCCGTTAAGAATAACTAAAATTGCTACATGGTCTTAAATTTTTAAAATTTAGACCAACAGACATCCAGAATTCAGAATTCGTGAAGGAATGAAGTACTTAGTTTTAAACCATCATTTTAGTATTTTAAAGATTAATTTTTTAGTTTCACTAGAAACTTAAATAGTAACTTAAATATAAATTATTTTATTTTCAAAAGTAATTATAATAGCATACATTTATTGAAAGCTTGCTCTGCTTGAGGCACCCTGTATTTTACATAACTTTATTATTTAGTCAGAATAATAAATAATATTTAACAAAAACCTATATGCTTTAAGCACTATGTTAAGCACATTGCATGGGTTTTCAAATTTAATAATAAAATGACAAATACTTATGAAACTTTTTCTATGTTTCAGGTACAGGTGTAAGTGTTTTACACTATTAATTCTCATTTAATTCTTACAACACTATGACAAGGATGTTATTATTCCTATTTTGCTGATGAGGAAATTCAGACTACAGAGATACTAAATACTCAATGGGAATGACCATTACCATGTCTCTTTTTTTTTTTTTTTGAGAAGGAGTCTGGCTCTGTTGCCCAGACTGGAGTGCAGTTGCTCCTTCAGGGCTCACTGCAAGCTCCACCTCCTGGGTTCATGCCATTCTCCCACCTCAGTCTCCCCAGTAGCTGGGATTACAGGCGCCTGCCACCACGCCCAGCTAATTTTTTGTATTTTTAGTAGAGACGGGGTTTCACCGTGTAGCCAGGATGGTCTCGAACTCCTGACCTCATGATCTGCCCGCCTCAGCCTCCCAAAGTGCTGGGATTACAGGCGTGAGCCACCGCGCCCGGCCCTATGTCTCTTTTAAAGAGGGAAAAACCCAAAACGTGAATAAGTTAAGTTACTTACCTATATTAATTTTACAGAGTTGCTGTAACAAATTACCACAAACTGACTGACTGAGAACAAGAAATTTATTGTCTCGCTGTTCTGGGGGCTAAATAAAATTCTGAAATCAAGGTGCCTGTAGGCCCATGCTCTTTCTAGAAGCTCTGGGAAGAATTTGTTTTCCTATTAGCTCTGGTGTTGCTAGCAATCTTAACATTCCTTGGCTTGTAGACACATTGTTTATGTCTCTGGCTCTGTCATCATATGGCATTCTGCTCTCTGCCCGTTTGTCTCTGTGCCTCTTCCCCTCTTCTAAGGCCTTACTGGGTTAGGGCCCACCCTAATGACTTCATCATCATTTACTCACATCTGCAAAAACCCAATTTCTAAATAAGGCCATATTCAAAGGTACCAGATGTTAACACTTCAACGTATCTTTTTGGGGGACACATTTCGACCTATAACATTACCCAAGGCCATTAAGCTCATTAATGACACTACTAGGATTTGATCTCGGGCTTATCTGACTCGAAAGCCTATGTTTTTAATCACTCTGTTCCACGCAGCATACAAGACCTGAGTCATCTTTAGTTCTACAAGCTAACTAAAGTTATTAATGACCATGGCAGTCATCAAAACAAAATTATTTAATATTTAAAATATATATCATTTAGATATTTACTTAAAACATGCATGAATAACTGTTATAATAAAATGAATAATTTTTTCAAACTATAAACATGAAATTTATTTATAAAAAGGAAACAGAATTTTATACATAAAAATCTCATTTGTTTGTGCTATCACTAACACAAACACCTATTTTTAAAGAAAATTATCCATCAAAAGACTGCTTATCTCTGCTTAGTAAATTTTCTTAATTTTTTCAGTGAAATGGTGTGGTTTTACCTATGCAGGGTTTCTACTTTCTTTCAATTTTATTTTATTAAGATATCTATGTATTTACTTAATTTATGTTCTTATATTTTACTTATATTTATATAAATATAAAAAATGGTGTTTTGTATATTTTTCCAATTACATTTTACAATTAACTATTATTAAACCCATATAAAAAAGAGCTTCAATATTTTTCTACTTGCAGAGCTGACTGTATTCACCTAGTAATTTTACCAAATAATTGTAAGCACAATTTATATTGCTAGTAGCACTCAAAAAGTTAACACTATTTACATAATAAATTTCTCTAATTTTGGCATTAAGTTTATTTTGTAGATCCTTTACAAATATCTGTATTATGGAAGAAAGTTTTAGTTTTAACTAAACAGTTACATCTGCAGCATTTACCTTATTTTGGTAATCACACACATTGTAAACATCCCTGTATTCTTTACTGTTTATCTCACAGAAGCATTCTAACTGGTTTTCTAGTACGTTTTCTTCCACTGGAATGCATTCTGCATGCCAAGGGCAGAATGTTCCTGGTAAAGCTAAAATGCAGTCAAGTCATTTTCTTGCTCAAAATTATTCTATAGTTCACTATTTCCTATAGAAATAAAATTTATAGAATTGCCTCGAATAAGGGAATAATAAACAAATCAAAAAAACATATGCAATTAATAACAAAATAATACTTAGAAGGGGCAGGTAAAAAGAATGTTCTTAATTATAGGAAAACAAGACAAAATTAACTCAAGCAGTATCAATTAAAGGGACTAATTCAAATGTGCATATTTAATCATGTGCTTTACCATTTTTATTGTGTTAGATTTTTGAATTGATTTTAATAAATGATGTTAGTCTCTAATTTTCTTTTCTAGCTCTGGGCAATTTTTCTTTTTGTTTTTAGCTTAGATAGATAGAAATATAGACATTTTGTTTATCTATTTCCTTTACTGCCTTGCTTAATTTTGCTTGATACTTATTAATTTTAGTCATTTTTCCAAAGAATCAACTTTTAATTTCAAGTATTTGGTCTGTTTCCCATTTTGTATGCTTAAACTATCATCTAGATTTCTCTTTTCAACTTCCATGATACTATTTGCAAGAAACTTACTTCTTCCTTTAAAAGCAAAATTTAGGCATCATTGTTATTATTATTAGGTTATATATACACATTTCATGCCCATCACTTTTATCTATGTAACCTTCAGCAAGTTTCCTACAGTCTTTGACCCTGGAACTCCTTATTTTAAAGTAGACAATTCTATCACTGGTTTAATAGTGGCTCTTATCATAGAAATAATAATTTTAAGTACTTAGCACAGTGCTGACACTGACTAAGGTTTCTCATAGATAATGCTGATGAAGATAATGATGATTATGTTGGTATTGTGCTATGCCTATTTAAATCAGGCACAACATTCTAAATCTTTTTCTTGTTGAGTTATCTGGATTGATATTTCAATTAGCCATTCTGTGTGACTTCTATGACTAACTGCATATAGGAGCTTATGAAAAACATAAGACTGTCTACAGAAAAATTTATTTTATTTAGTTTAAACATTCTACATGGCCTATTTTATGCAATTAATTCTTCACATGTACTCCCAAATAAATTTTAATGTCTATGTACTGATGCCTTAGGATTAATGAGGTAACGTCTAAAAAGAACTGTGAATTCTTTGGAGGAAGTACAAGGTCAGAGTCCAAATTGTGATAGGTTTTATGCTTGTGTTTACAAACCAGAAAGACAGCTCTTATAATTCAGAGGACATGGGCTGCCAAACACTCACTACTGTATTTGAAGCACTATCATAACAGCTCAGGAGGAATACAAGAGTGAACAAGGATGCAAAACTGATGAAATGAGGTAAAATGGGTCCTAATAAGAAAATATGGAAATGAAAATTGTCAAAGTAAAACAGATTTGAAGAAACAAAATAATGACATAGAATCATCTTACTTAGTAGCCTCTTGCAACATAGTTAATCTTTCGTTCCTCCTTGAAACACTTTCTTTACTTGTTTTGGGATAAAATATTCTGTCTTTGTCTTCATTCCTGCTCTTGACCTTGTTCTCTTGGCTCTGGAACTGGCTCCCCTTCAACTCCCTGACCTCTAAATGTGAGACTGTTCTAACACCCCATCATTGAACTTTTTTTCTAGCTATGCATCCTCCCTTAATGATCTCATACAGACTCACGGCTTTAAATATCATCTATATGCTAATAATACCAACTTTATTTCTCCAGCTCGGACCTATCCCCTTGACTCTACACTGGTTTATCAACTGCTTATTTGACATTTCAACTTGAATGTCTAATATGTGTCTCAAATTTAGCCTGCCTAAAACTGAGCCTTAAATAACTTTCTTTCCACCGTTGCCCTGGTCCTTCACAAATCTCCTCTCACATTCGTTGATATTTCAGGACATGGCCAATCATTTTTCCCCCTTTTGCTTGGGCCCCAAGTCTTCTCGTCATCCTGGTTCCTCTGTTTCCATCACACCACACATCCAATCCACCAGCATGCTTTGTCAGCTCTGTGTCTTCAAGTTATATCCAGAATCTGAGCACTTCTTAGCACCACCAGTTTTTACCTCCCTGAATTGCTATAATAGCCTCTTAACCAATCTCTCAGCTTCTACCCTTGCCGTGCTATAAGCTCTCAAACAGTGGTGTGGTTGACAGAACACAGCTCCGGTTGGTCATTTCCAGCCACATTCATTTGACATCTTATGATGAATCTCTAGCAGAGCCAGTATCACATCAGGAACTGTTATTTGAAAGTTAAGTTTAGTTCTACTTTGCAGATAGCATGGCCTTGCTCTGGAGTCCCAGCAGACTACATTATAATTTTCCCATTAAGCATTACATAATCCCTACATAATGTCTTTTTCTGTCACAGATATACCTAAGACCAAAAGATCTGTCAGGTTAAATTACCCAAGCTTATTGTCACTTACACCAAAATCTGAAAACCTGGATTGCTAAAAAGCCTTTTTCCTGCACAGTATGCTACTAAAACTTTGCAGTTATTCATGTCATTCTGTATAATAGCCAGAGAAATCTTCCAGAATGTGGCCATCCTTAAAGAAGGAATGGTGCTTCCTTCTTTAAGATGAAAGCTGCAGGACACGCTAATTGTTTTTTATTTTTAAGGAGTGCCCTGGGATACCATAAACTACTGGTTCTCTAAAAATTGTATTAATGTGGTAGTATCTTAACTCTTTACAGAATGTATGTCTCGCTCTCTAAAGTGCATGTGTCTTTCCAAGGCCTCCAACCCACTTGCCACTTGTTTCTTACCTGGGTCTGATTAGTGCGATGTTATATACTGGACCCATGGGACATTCTGCTGGATGTCCATCAGTTCTAGATCCATCAGAAGAGATTATGTGGAAAGCTGAGGGTTAATATAGCCATGGAACAATATTATAAGTTTGTACTGTTGTCTGTAACTAGTGAATGTGAATTCTTTCTGGTCTTTTTCATAGAGATTGAAATTACATTAGCTAGATCAATGGTCACATACCACGTACCTGAGGCTGTGTTAATTGACTTGACCAAAGTTACCCTTGTCAAAGTGTATTTGACAAAACAGTTGCAATTAGAGTACTATTTTGATTAGTAATTTACTGTCATCTCTCAGGATTCATTTGATTTTTGCAGGGGCTGGATCAGTGAATTGAATATGATAGGCACAATTAGCACAGTATTCTTTTTATTCTTAAAGTAGACATGAATCTATATCAGTTTCATAGGCTATTACTACAAAAGTTGTTACTCCAAAGGGCAAGTAACTAACATGGGAATTCTGCCTGCTACCAAACATATTCACTCTATCTATGAATCTGGTGACAGAAATATCTATTGATGGAGTCACATAGTCACTGTGAACTAGACCTAGACTGGACTCCATTTGTTACCTGGTTCCCACTTGCCCCCATTCTAATTGGGGGGCAACAATGATACATTTAGTTCCTGGGTATCAACATCAACTCTGACCCTGTGTCCCACAGTCTCCACAATGCTTGGGTAGTCCCATTTCTCCAGGGTATTGTGACCTGAGTAAATAATCATAGATACCTTTGGAAAAAGTCTAGGGAAGTTCTTACTGATGGTGCAGCATGGTGCTGTCTCCTGGGGATCTGTCCTCTCCTTCCGTCAGCAGTTCTGGGTCAGAAATGTGATTCAGATCTAAAAACAGGGAAAGAAGTAGTGATATTTTACTTATCATTATTCTAATAATCTATTTTTGATTTGTTCTGGTCACAGAAATTGAGTAAAACCTGTAGTGGTGCCCATCTATCTTGGTTCTAATAAATATTTTTATACTTCTATGCAGGTTATTGCCTCTGGCTATCACTCTCATCTTGCTACTGCCTTTGACAATTGAAACTCACATATGTCCTTTATTATTGAGGGATCCTATCAACCTCACTGCTGTTACTGATCCCAGTTTGGTAACAATATTTCCTATGGTATTCCTGGTCTACAAAGTACAGTCACCATCAAGCTTCACAGTGAGGCTGGAGTTCTTCTCACCAAGTTCTTTATGCTCTTGGTAAACAGAATGACCTTTGGGAGCTCTTATAGCTAGACAGTCATTTGATGTGTTTTCAGTTCTTATATAGTTTATCCACTTGAGAGTGCCTGCTTCTCTTAACTCTGAATCCGTTTCTTCCACTGTCTATGATGGCATTCCTGGCTGTTCTACTTTGGCTGATCATTTTGTTCAAGCTTCTAACAGCCAGCTATCTCTGCAGTTTGTTAGCAATGTCTCACAGGAGTTCCAGCAAGGGTGGTAACTCCTGTATCTTGAGGGTTGAGGGTTTGCTTCCATATCAAGAAACGCTTTTTTACTCCACTTATGTTCTTCTACCCTTTTCTGCCCCCATTGAACTTCTGCAGAATACAATTCTAAATGTCTTCTGAATCCTTCTACTACATATTTTCTAGGTGCTATAGTTTTTTTCATGATCGTTTATTTTTCCTTTCTTAGGAAGTTCAGGACATCCTTGACCTTAATATGTGGTGATTTAATCTAGTTGTTGCCTTAGTGGGTAGAAGGAAAGTAGGGGAATTTTCTGAGGGGGCAAGAGTTGTCCAATCGGGGCTGTAAAAAGACTTCAGAAAACGATGAAGCATTGAACTCTATTCCAGCAGACACAGAGGTTTTAGCAGAATTTGGTAAAAGAATATTCTCAACTGCACTAATCCCAGACATCCTCATCCTATGTTTTAAATTTACATGGCTACCCTGTACTGTAAATCCACCCAGCATCTTATTGCCTTATTTTCTTGACATCCTTATTGCCAGGAGAGCAGGTATTCTAACCTTTAAAATCAAATTCAAACTTCCACCTCAATTTTTTTTAGGAACCAAACTCCGATGGAGAAGAGCATGCAGGATTTTTTATGAGGAAAGGCTCCGAGGATCAACACTTCTAGGGTAAAGAGAAGAAAGGAGAATTTGAGAACTTGTGATTGTGAGTTACAGCACAGTCAGAGTATGACTTCAATCCACTTCACAAAGAACTCTGATGCTGTAACAGTGTTTTATAGTTTTCCTGAGTTAAAATAAGGAGGCTGGGTGTGTATACTCCTAATTCAATTTGTGACCAGCTGCAGGTCCCCAAGGAATGGGGGAGTGATCTTGGACATGGCATATCTCTTTATTAAAGGTAATTTTCAAAGGTAGCTGGGAGCAGTACAGGACACATCCACAACAACCTCCAAATTTGGTATCAACATTTTTAGAAATTTTTCCAACAAGCATAATTTTTGGTTAATCTTGAACTG